>NC_000012.12:108672249-108823764 GCF_000001405.40 Homo sapiens | reverse complement strand
ACCCAGGAGGCAGAGGTTGCAGTGAGTTGAGATCACACCACTGTACTCCAGCCTGGATGACAGAGTGAAACTGCGTCTCAAAAAAAAAAGAAAGAAGAAAATGTTATATGACAGTGAGATCCCTGTCCAGTATTCTGCAGAAAGGGGCCCTGGAGAGCCTATGTAGAACTTTGGGTGTTGTCACAGAAGCATTATTTTGTCACGAAAATTCTCCAGCAGCAAGCTTTTAGCAAAAGCAAGGTTTGAGAAAAGTACTACGTGGAATTATTATAAAAGCAGTTTCATCCTATTTGCATTTTACATGCCATTTGTCCACGCTAAAGCTTTTTCCCCTGCAGTAATTCTTTGTCCATTTTCCTGTCTGAATTCCGGTCTAACTGTGCTCTGGTCTTATCCTTCCCAGCTTAAGTGAGAGCTTTTTCATGGTGAAAGGCGCAGCCCTCTTCTTACAACAGGGAAGCAGCCCTCAAGGCCAGCGGAGTCTTCAGCACCCCCACAAGCATGCAGGTGAGGGCTCTAAGTTGATACTCTTACATTGGAGCTTCTTTTCTGGACAGCAGAGGAAACTTCCATTGTTGGTGATGTTGCTGAGTTTGAAGGCCTTAGACATAGTGGACGCAGGTTTGCAGTGACCAGTGCAGGCAGAGGCTCAGATGCTCTCTCTTGAGCAGACCACGCACATTTTCCAACCTTTTATGTCATGTCTGTCTGCGTCAGGAGTAAGGTCAGCAGCATCCTGCTGGGATGCAAAGATTTCCTCTCTGTAGTTTATCAGTTAATTGCAGGCTGTAAGTTACAGCCTGACTTTTTAACAAATGCACCAAAATGAATTATAGCCAGATGTCGTCCACTTGAAAATAACCATCTGGAGTGCTGTATACCTAATCTTGGGATGGATTTCTCCAAGCATTTGAAAAACACTCATTTGGAGAATTTCTTGAAGGGCCTTTGGCTCCAACTCTGAGATAGACACTGTAGTAGGAAGTCTTGATTCTGTAATAGTTTGTTTTTAGGAAGTAGACAGAAGTAATAGGGTGAGGATCAAACTGAGTTTAAATAAGAAGTGCCTACTAAGTAGTAAGACTGGTTTTCTTAGGAGACTTGACTCAGAGCTGAAGGCAGTTAGAAAGAGGAATTCAAGAAATGCTTGCGTGGCCCTGCATGGTATCTCACACCTGTAATCCCAGTGCTTTGGGAGGCTGAGTTGGGAGGATCGCTTGAGCCCAGGAGTTTGAGGCTGCAGCAAGCTAGGATCACGCCACTGCACTCCAGCCTGGGTGACAGAGAGAGACTCTGTTTCTTAAAAACAATAACAACAAAACACACTTATGGCCAGGCACGGTGGCTCTTGCCTGTAATTCCAGGATTTGGGAGGCCAAGGTGGGCAGATCTCGCTTGAACCCAGGAGTTCCAGACTAACCCGAACAACACAGTGAAACCCTATCTCTGCAAAAAATACAAAAATTAGCTGGGCGTGGTGGCGCATGCCTGTAATCCCAGCAAGGTTGGGGGCTGAGGTGGGAGGATTGCTTGAGCCCAGGAGGTCGAGGCTGATGTGTCACCACAGCCAGCTAGTTTTTTGTGGGTGTGTATGTAAATGAGGTCTCACTATGTTGCTCACTGTGTTGCTCAGTGAGCCACGATTGCGCCACTGCACTCCAGCCTGGGTGACAAAAGAAAAGGACCCTATCTCAAAAAGAAAGAAAGAGGAAAAAGTGCTTGCATGTAAGTGGATCTTTGTCGTAGGTGGACAGCATCTCAGGGCATTTCTTGGAGAGGCAGTGCATAATTGAATGTCTGTGAGCTGAGAAGGCCTTTACCTTTCAGAACAGCAGCAGGTGAAACCAACCAGCTATTGTGGCCAGTTTTCTTGTGAACATTTTGTTTGTTTAACCTCAAGTCATTCAGCTTCATTTTAGATCTGAGTGCTCAGGTTAGAATTCTACACCATGCAATTTATAGCAAACACCAAGGCTCAGTCAGTATTTTCACATACTGATGTTGATGATATTTAGGTCTGTTTTAAGCAAAGAAAATAACTGTCCTGTACAAGGAGGCAGTGTGGTTTGTGGAAATAGTATTTGTTTTGAAGCCAGGCAGACCTGTCTTCTGATCCTAGTTCTCCAACTTACTAAGCCGTAACAGGTCGACTTCTAAGCCTCAGTTTCCTAGTCTTTACAATGGGCATCAAATACTGGTGCCTCAGACAATATGGAAATTTAGAGTTATGCGTGTAACATACCTACCTGTAGTAGGTGCTGTATATATATATGGGTAACTATCATTGTTATTACGATGACTTCTAGTACAATACAGCTATAAACAGACCCTTCATTCTTTTTTTTTTTTTAATTATATGAAAAGTTTTTTTAGAGACGGATCTCATTCTCTTGCCCAGGCTGGCGTGCAGTGGCCTGATCATAGCTCACTGCAGCCTCGACCTCCTGGGCTCAAGTGATTGTCCAGCCTTAGCTTCCTGAGTAGCTGGGACCATAGATGCGTGTCACCACACCCAGCTAGTTGTGTGTGTGTGTGTGTGTGTGTGTGTAGATGAGGTCTCACTCACTATGTTGCTCAGGCTGGTCTCCAACTCCTGGCCTCAAGCCATCTCCCCACCTCAGCCTCTCAAAGCATTGGGATTATAGGTTTGAGGTGCCATACTCAGCCAGATTCTTCGTTCTTGAATTTGCTAATTATTCTGCCCTCTTAGAAATGTAGCTGTTGTTCATGTTTTAATTGTAACACATATGACAAAGCAAATGCTCAAGCTCTGCTCACTAAGTGTCAGATACCTCCTTCCTCTAATCCAAAGACTAGAAGGGTAGGATGCAAGCCACCAGCTGGCTGACTCTTGTGCCCTGAGGTCTGGAGTGGACGATGAGGTCGGAAGGCAGAGGGGCCGCCAGCTGTCCACAGTTGGTCTGTAAATGACCTTGGGACAGACGCAGACTAGACTTACGTTAGTTCCTTTTTTTCCCTAGAATTACCATCAAGTCTCCTGAATGTACCAGAGGCCCCCCAGTAACCACTGTGCAGAGCTGAGTACAATTGAGGGTTAATTCTGTCCTTGGAAAAGTAGTTCAGTTTGTTTCAGCCAGTCCAGTCAATTTGAGACCCTTTCTAGGGCTTATATTCTCTGATTTTTTTGTGTGTGGATGTCAGACTGGGGTTTGGATTTCTGTCTGTCAGCAGTTCCATATCTCAGCAAACAATCCCACTGAAAGAAGTTTATCTGTGTGGAAAATGTCCCTTTCATTTAGGCATTTATCAGACAGGGGTTTGTTTTTGCTTTCCCCAATGCAGTTCTGTGACTCGGGTAGATGGTGGGAGGGCCCAGGCAGGTGAAGAACCAGCTCATGGTCGTTGTCGTTGTGTTGCATTGGTGACATGACGGGTGGAGGAAGGGGCTGGGGAGGTCTATGGCTTTCTTTAATGTGAACCCTTATCTCCAAATCGCTCATCATAGGAAGCAGGGTCAACACAGGGTGTTATACACTGTGGAATTGTATAACTGGAGAGGACAGATAAGAGGGGCATGGTTCTTTTCTTTTTTAAATTTTACTTATTGTGGAAAGAATGCTTAATTGGCCTGGGTTTGGTGGCTCATGCCTATAATCCCAGCACTTTGGGAGGCTGAGGTGAGAGGATCATTTGAGTCCAGGAGTTCGAGACCAGCCTGGGCAACATGGCAAAACCCTGTCTCTATTGAAAAAAAAAGAAAAAGAAAGAACGCTTAACATGAGATCTACCCTCCTGGCTAGAGGCACAAATTTCTAATGACCCAATTCCTCTCTGAGACAGGAAGTGCAATTTGGACATCATCTGTCCTTCTCCCTTAAAATGAAAAAGATGCTTTTGCAAAAGGAACAAACACAATGTTTCCTTTTGGAGCATTTGAGTGTGTAAGCATTATTGATCCTTTTGGGGTTGTAATTGTGATGTATAGAGTAATTTTTTTTCCTTTGTAGAGACAGGGTCTTATCGTGTTGCCCAGGGTGATCTCAAACTCCTGGGCTCCAGCGATCCTCCTGCCTTGGCCTCCCAAGTAGCTGGGACTACAGATGTGAACCAGAAAGCCCAGCTAATTTTTTACTTTTCTGTAGAGATGGGGTCTTGCCATGTTGCCCAGACTGGTCTTGAATGCCTGGCCTCAAGTGAGTCTCCTGCCTCGGCCTCCCAAAGCACTGGGATTACAGGTGTGAGCCACCACACCAGGCTGATATTAGCATCTCTACAGATGACCCTTTCTTCAGAAAGAAATCCTTGCAGATATAAAGAAAAATGTGTAAGCTAGAGAAAAAAAGCAACCTTGGAGTCACACCTGCTACTTACTAATTATGCACCTCCCTTACAACTTTCCCCTCCGTGAAAGTGTGCGCTTCTTCTGACAGGGTCTCTGCTTCGCGCGAGACTCATGGCCAGTAAGAGACTTTCCTCACTGCACTCCAGGAACACCTCCTGAACCCTGGGGCAGCTCAGAGAAGTTCAGAAGCCGTCCCTGGTTACTGCCTGTTTTACATAGTGAAGAAAAAAGAGTACATAATTTTTAGCAAGAAAAGAGAAAATGACAGATTGGTTTCTATTCAAATTATTTCTCTGGGCAACCAGCATACAGCTGCTATCTGTAGAGTCACTTAAACATTTCCCCCCGCCCCCCCGGTTATGGAAATAATGTCTGCCTCCAGTGGAAAATGCAGAAGTTTGAAGTGGGGCCTGGGTGGGGTAGCTTATGCCTGTAATCCCAGCACTTTGGGAGGCTGAGGCGTGCAGATCACTTGAGGTCAGGAGTTCGAGACCAGCCTGGCCAACATGGTGAAACTCCATCTCTACTATAAATACAAAAATTAGCCGGGTCTGGTGATGGGCACCTGTAATCCCAGCTACTTAGGAGGCTGAAGCAGAAGAATCTGTTGAATCCAGGAGGCGGAGGTTGCAGTGAGCTGAGATCGTACCACTGCACTCCAGCCTGGGTGACAGTGCGAGACTCTGTATAGAAGAAGAAGTTGTTTGAAGAGGAAACGTGATGCTCTGTCCTTTTTCTCTAATGATTAACTCTTAGCAAATGCCTTACTTCCAGCCACAGCTGTCGTTTCTAGGCACCCCAACCTGCCGAGTAACATTGGCTTGAATGAAATAACATTTTTCTCTAGGCTTGCCTGTATTTTTCACATTTTGTATTTGGAAACCTATACTGTATGTATTTCAGGAAATAAGAGCAACTTTTAACAACATGACAGTAAGCTCCATGTCACCCATCCACGTCGCACAGTATTCAGAGTGGTGTAAGAGAAATTCAGACTTGAAGTTTTTGTGGTGATTCTCCTGTGGTGTAGGTAGACAAATTTTAACTTCTCAATCTTTTTCCAAGCCCTCAAAGTCAGCCTTTCAGAGGTTTTTTTTCCTAGAGAGTAGGTAAGAGACCTTTTAAAGCTTTCTTTATTGGTCCAACAGGTGATCTGCCTCAACATCTTCAGGTGATGATCAACCTTCTGCGTTGCGAAGACAGAATCAAGCTGGTAAGAAGCAGTGAGAATGTCAAGTTAAAAAATTTTTTTTTAATTTTTGTGAGATGAGGGTCTTGCTCTGTTGCCCAGGCTGGAGTGCAGTGGCATGATCTTAGCTCACTACAGCCTCAAACTCCTGGGTTCAAGCAATCTTCCCACCTCAGCCTCCTGGATAGCTGGGACTACAAGTGTGTACCACCCTGCCTTATTTTTAAAAAAATTTTGTGGATATGGGGTCTTGCTATTTTGCCCAGGCTGGTCTTGAACTCCTGGCCTCAAATGATTCTCCTGCCTCTGCCTCCCAAAGTCCTGGAGTTATAGGTGTAAGCCACCGTGCCCAGCCAGCAAGTTTTAATTTTTAATTGTGAAACCTGGTGGGGAACCATTCGTGAATGATAAGGGGAAAAGCTTTTAGGTTACAACAAATTCTCAAATTGTGCACTAAAGCCAAAGCCAGGTTGACTCCTCAGTTCCCCAGAGGGGCGGGAGGAGGGATGAAACAGGTCTCCACGGCAGTTAAATAAGCTAAATACGAACTTTCTTTGGATTTCATGTGTTCACTGATTTCTTGCATTTTGGGTGATTCCTCTGAGCCAGGCGGCGTCCCTGGTGCTACAGAGAGAAACGAGGCCTGGTTCCTGCTGTCAAGAACTTCCGCTTTGTGTTTTGTTGTGTTGTTGTTGTTTGAGACAGAATCTCACTCTGTCGCTCTGGCTGGCATGTGGTGGCATGATCTCAGCTCACTGCAACCTCCGCTTCCCGGGTTCAAGAGATTCTCGTGCCTCAGTCCCCTGAGTAGCTGGGATTACAGGCGCACGCCACCATGCCCAGCTAATTTTTGTATTTTTAGTAAGAGATGGGGTTTTGCCATGTTGGCCAGGCTGGTCTCGAACTCCTGACCTCAAGTGATCTGCCTACCTTGGCCTCCCAAAGTGCTGGGATTACAGGCCTGAACCACCATGCCCAGCCAAGAATTTTCTCTTCATTTTTAACTCCCAGAGGGAAAGGTAGAACACTGAAAGTGTTGATCTTGCATTGGAGATGGGAGGGAGGCACCACCTCCAAAGGCAGGTTAGTGAGAGCATGTCTGCCCTGTTCCAGGCAGTGCGCCTGGAGAGCGCCTGGGCGGACCGGGTCCGGTACATGGTGGTGGTGTACAGCAGCGGGCGCCAGGACACCGAGGAGAATATCTTGCTGGGAGTGGACTTTTCCAGTAAGGAAAGGTGAGTCTGATGGGCTAGGTGTTCCCTTCTGTGAGGGAGGCAAGAGTTGCTGCTGGACAAAGCATTCCATGGTCCCATATCCATCAGAGGTGGGAGAGGGCTGCGTCCTGATGGAGAGCCTGGGGAGTCGAGCCACTGGGAACACTAGGGTGTGCCATTTCAGCTCTCTGTGCCAGGCACCGTGCCAGCTCCAGGCTGTGCTCTCAGAACTCAGTCAATTGAGAGGACAGAAAGTTATGCTGTTTGCTTAGAGAGGTTTTACACCAGCTGCTATAGAGTGGGGCACCTTAGCCAGAAATGCTTCCTGAAGGAGGTGACAACAACGCCGAACCCAGAAGGCCAAACCAGAGTCTGCCAAGGGAAGCAGGGAGACCCTCTCAGGCAGAGGGGCCCGGGGAGAAGTATGGAGATTGGTGGGCCTCGCCTCAGACACCTCACCCCACAGTGATACTCCACTGATTCCCAAGTACTTCATGGCAGGTCCTAGTCAGAGGCTTGAAGTGTAGCTTGTAATTTCCCACTAACTGGAGGCCAAGTAAGTTAGAGCATTGACCCCAAGATGCGTGTGAAATGAGGGTGGAGTCACTCCCCTGACATCACAAGATAAATGAATGCCTGTGAGATCATTGCAAAACCTGGATTTGTTAAAACTAGATTAGATTCCCTTTATTCATCATTCATTCATCGACTCATTCATTAAGCATATGATTTATTTGCATTCTCCTGTGTATGAGGCAATGGGCTAGGCCCAGGTAAACAAAGAAGCAACAGTACACACAGTTCTTGGCCTCAGAGAGCTTCTAAGTGAGCATGGAAGACAGTCACAACCAGATAGGAGGGAGAGAGTGACCGAGAGGTGCTGGGGTTTTGTGAGACCACAGGAGGGGGTGACTGTTGAGAGCACCTGGCAGGACCTTTCTGGCAGGAGTGAAGCCTAAGCCGACTCTTAACGGGCAAGTGGGCAGTCAGGCGAGCTCTAGGGTGGAGGCGGAGCAGCAAGGTGCATTTGAGGAGCATTTGAGGCAGAATCAACAGCAGAAACCAGTCAGGGAGGCCGTGAGTGTCACGGTAACAGTATGGTCTTGTCTTGTTCCCATGAGAGCTTCTGTAAGTCACATGCTAGCGACTGAGACTTTGATGCTTGTTAGAAGGAGATGAATAAAAAAGGGAGGACATTTCTTTTATGACATGGCCCCCACCCCCGCAGTACATAATAAATAGCACTATGAGAAAGTTTCCTGTGACACATGTAGAAGATGGAGTTGGGGCTGGCCTCTGTGGCCTTGGGGTGGTTGGGAACCTGGGGCTAGAAGAACCTGTAGCATAGGAGGTGTTCGGATGTGAGCTCTGAAGAGCCACTTGGAGACTGGAGGGCATGGTCCATTAGGATGGGGTGCCACCAGGCAGGTGCTCTCAGAAATGCCCAGAGCCCCATCTATTTGGCCATTATCTGTACGGTTCTGAGGCATAGCGGTGTTTAGTGTTTGACCGTCTTGCGGTTGTAATTGTTCTTCCAGTGACTGTCTAGCTTTTCTGAATCTTTCTGAGGCAGGGACTTCCCTCGCAAGTGTGGCCTGTTCCAATAATGCTTTCTGATCCCGAACGGAAATCGGCCTCCCATGGCCTGTGCCCAATGTCTTGATCCTAACCGTGGGAGCAGTGTGGAAGCCCAGTCCTCCTGACTGTAGAGTACAGCACACCTACAAAATGCCTCTGTGAACATCTCATTTAACCCCTTCATCCCCCTGGGGTGGGTAGTGCTACCTCAGATTTTACACATGACAGTCAGAAGCTCACGAGGCTGCAGTGATTACCCCAGGGTCATCCCGGTTAGTGGCCGGGCTGGGACTTGGAGGCAGGGCTTTTCCTGTCGACCTGCTGAATGAGTAGATGCCACTCATTCTTTCCCAGCAGGCTGCAGCTCTCTTCCTGTACACCACCTTGCTCATTCATTCACTCCTAGGTTTATCATGTATGGACTTGCTAGCTCTTTCCCTGTGCCGGGCGCCCCGCCAGGTGCTGGGGCCACATCAGGGAGCACGGCAGACACACCTACAGTCTCACAGAGCTCACAGGCCAGCAGTCACGGGCATGCCTTAGATGCCCACATGCGCATCCCACTCCGCTGCTGCCTGGCTGGAGGAGACTGGCCCGTGCGCTCGTCCGCACCGCCCCCATGGCGCTCTTCCTTCCCACCCTCTCCTCCCTTTGCCTCCCCTCGGCACCCCGACTTCAGTTCTCCCAGGTCCCTCTCCCTGTGGTTCCCTCGCCTCTCCTGCATGCTCTTCCCTCAAGTTCGAGTCTCTGCACCCTCTGAGCAGGAGCCACGGCCCACCTGTGGGCACCGACCCCAAGGCCAGGGCAGGTCTCTGAGGTTGGAGAGGGCGGTTGAGAGGCCACCCAAGATGAGCAGGGGCCTGATGGGAACCGGAACTAAGCAGTCTTTCCTGTCGCTGGGCCTGACACAGCTGCCTTCTGTGCCCAGGGAATCCCGGGGGCTGGGAACTGGGCCTTCTCCTGCAGCTCCCACATTGCCCGGGCACCAGGCTGTTGTCTTCCTTCCTGGCTTGAAAAAAAGTCCAGGTCCCCGCCAGAAGCCTTTGGCCTGCTGAGGGAGCAATGTACTTGTTTTTTCTAAATTCCTTCCTTGGGATTTTATTTTTTTATTCCCCCTGCCAAAAAAAAAAAGGAAGAGACAAGCATTACCCCCAAAGGGCATCTTCATAAGAGTCCAACGCTTCTCCAGAAGGCAGCATTGGAATGGCGGCTCCTGCAGCAGGCTTGCGCACTCTCAAAGTTTTTGTTTTTGTTTTTAAGATGGGGTCTCACTCTATCACCCAGGCTGGAGTGTAGTGGCACGATCTTGGCTCACTGCAACCTCTGCCTCCCGCGTTCAAGCGATTCTCCTGCCTCAGTCTCCTGAGTAGCTGGGATTACAGGCATGCACCACCATGCCTGGAAAGTTTTTGTATTTTTAGTAGAGACAGGGTTTCACCATGTTAGCCAGGCTGGTCTCGAACTACTGACCTCAAGTGATCCACCCTCCTCGGCCTCCCATAGTGCTGGGATTACAGGCGTGAGCCACTGTACCCGGCCTCACTCAGAGTCTTATATCTGCATACGCATCCTGGGAAGACCAGAGCAGCCATGCCACCTTAGGGTTCAATCGTGGATTCTATTCTCTTCTCTTCTTTCTTTTCCTGTTTTCCCTATCCCCTTCCCCTTCGCTTCCCTTCCCTTTCACCTTCCCTTCCCCTTCCCTTCCCTTCCCCTCCCCTCCCCTCCCCTCCCCTTCCCTTTCCTTCCTTTTTTTTTTTTTTTTTTAATTTGGAGACAGGATCTCGCTCTGTCACCCAGGCTGGAGTGGTGAAATCAAGGCTCATTGCAGCCTCAACCTCCCAGAATCAATCATTTCTCCTACCTCAGCCCCCTGAGTAGCCGAGGCCACAGGCACATGCCACCATTCCCAGCTAATTTTTTTTTATATATAATTTTTAAAAAAATCACTATTGCCCAGGCTGGTCTCAAACTCCTGGGCTCAAGCAGTCCTCTTGTCTCCACCTCCCAAAGTGCTGGGATTACAGGTATGAGCCACCACACCCGAGCAGGATTATGTTTTCGATTCGGATTGGGAACATTTTGAATGCCATGAGTGTACACCACCATCCACACATCAGTGTTTTGCCATTGGTGAAGGACTCCACGATGGGGTCTTGGAACAGGCTGGTCTCCTGCCTGGACCTCCAGACCCATCTGGCTTCTCTGTTCCCGCCATACAGGCCCTAGGAACTTGGAGCCTGCTTTCTTCTTCTGCAATTGCTCCCACCCACTTTATCCTTTGGGGTCACTCTTCCTCTAAAAAGATTCAGCTTCCCTTACTATGTATCCCTTTCCTGCTTCCCATGTATGCTCCCCAGGTGGAGACAAGAGGACTGCTTGAGCCCAGGAGTTTAAGACCAGCCTGGGCAATATAGTGGGGCCTTATCTGTACAAAAAAGTTTTTTTTAAAAAGCTGGGCATAGTGGCATGTGCCTGTGGTCCTAGCTACTCAGGAGGCTGAGGTGGGAGGATTGATTAGGCCCTGGAGGTCGAGGCTGCAGTGAGCTGTGATTACACCACTGTATTCCAGCCTGGGCAACGGAGCAAGACTCTGGCTCAAAAAAAAAAAAAAAAGAAAAGAAAAATATGCTTCCCATGGGTCTTCCTTCCTTGTAGAAATCTTATTGTTAATCATTGTAGGACTGCTGGAAACTCACAAAAGTAACAGCTAGGGGATGATAGGAGATGCGTGCAGTTGTTGCAGTCCTGTATGGTCCCTGTTCCATGCTCCTGGCTCTAGTTGAAGGCCGTGAGCAGAAGTCCCCTGTGGGCTGAGCCTCTTGCGCATCTCTGTCCAAGGGAGGCCGGCCTAGGGGCTTAGGTTCCACATGGTTTTATGTGCCCCTTATTTCCCATGGGCAGTCTCATCCCTGCCCCCTTGACCTCCGCCTGCCCTGGAAGGCCCCGCCCCTGGCCTAGGCCTGGCCTTGGCCCTGCCCCCGTCCTGTGCTCTCTGCAGCTCTCTGTGCTGTACCCACCTCCTTATGAGTTCCTGGTGAGGGTTGTCAGGGCTCAGGTTGGGTCTTCTAGACTGCACGTTCTCAGGGCACCATCTGACCTGGCTTCTGCCTGTCGGATTTGGGCTCCATAGGGACCCTTTCCTTGCCTCCTCCTGGGGCTGACACAGCCACGTGGTCCCTAGAGCTCTGTGAGGCCCAAAATAAATTTTATTTTTCAGTGCTATAAGAGAAATACTAGTTAGTCCCTCCAGAGTGGGTAGGATGGCACGGAGGGACCTGAGAATTTGCCCAACCCAAAAGCCTGAGTGTCATTGGCCGGAAGGGCTTGGAACAACCTTCCCCACAGATATAGAAGCATGGGGTTGAGAAGAGTCCTGCATGGGGCAGGGCGCTACCTGGGAGGGGAGCTGGGTCTGTGATCCCCAGAGGCCCCATTCACACGGGCACACATAAAACATGACCGTGGTGTTGGCAGCAGCAGAGATGGAAGCATGAGATTCCTGAGGTCCACAGAGCTGGCTCTTGGCACGGTTACAGCGGCTTCTCACAAGTCGACTTTTAAATGCCTGAAGAATTTTCATCATAATCTGAGGACTCTCCGATAAGCCCTTTCTTTCCCTCTGTTTTTCAGTGGCGCCAGTCTCTGCAGTCATTCGGTCTCATTTCACTGGTAGGATGGGCAAAACAAAACCAGATTAAGCGAGATTGTAAAACCGCAGCCACACTAAAGGCGCAGGTGCACAGGTCTGAAAGTGAGCTCCGGGAACGGTGTGAGCACGCTCCCCCTGCCGCCACCCAGGACAGGCCAGGCCGGGCTTGGCTGCCGGTGCTTGCCTATGTACCCCCAAGTACACATGTGGCCTCCGCCAGCAGAGCACCAGCCCTGGGCAGCTGCCTCCCTGCTGTAGAGTGGGCGTGCGGTCAGCCCACACTGCACCCAAAAGCCTCAGCTGAGCACTTACGGAGTTGTGTCCACAGGGCCATCCCAGACCTGTGTCTTCTAGAATTCATCAGTGAACGGTTCCTATGCAGACAGCCTACTCCCACACGTACGTCCAACAGCCCGTCCTGGACCAGGTGGTGAGCTGGAAAGGCTGTACACGTAGGTGGGTAGACGCTGACTCCACATGTCTTCTCTCCCCCATCGCAGTAAAAGCTGCACCATTGGGATGGTTCTCCGACTGTGGAGCGACACGAAAATCCACCTTGATGGAGATGGGTAAGGAGGTCTCTTTAAAAGATTCTCTCACTGTATGTAGTAGGCATTGAAAACACGAGCTGGTTCAGGCATCCTTGGATGATCATTAGCACTGAATGACACGTGTGGCGGGAGTGTCACAGCGGGAGAAATCATATTGCCCTCGAGTGAGAGGGCACGAGGGAGGGTATGTTTTGGACGTCTGATTGGGGAGTTTAGCTCATGAAGTATCAGTGGGAGTGATTACAGGAGATATGCTGCTGTGTGAAGTTCAAGACAGCGGTAAACCGATACCCATCCGCCACCTCGATGGGTTAAGTGAACTCTCACCGCATGCCCTCCATGGGGCTTGTCCTGAAAGTTCACGGACTAATGTGGTGCAGCAGGAACTCACCAGCTTTGGGGGTACAAGGAGAGACATACAACTGACAGGCACAACAAGGTTTCAAGCGCCACCCTGGGGGCCACAAAGGAGGAATGAACCAGTTCCACCCGGGCAGGCAGTCGGGGGATGAGGGGCCGTCTAGCGTCCGCACGCGTTCACTCCCAAGGAAGGTGTGTGGGCACGGTGAGGAGTGGGAAGAAACAGAATAGGAAAGTGGCCTGACACGGGGATTCTAAGCAGGTCAGAGTTATGTTGCCTTGTAGGATGGGAAGAGAAAAATAAAAATTTGATTTGTTGTTTAAGTGATGGGGTTATGGGGATATTTTTCCTTTTTAATTTTAATATCTTTGTATTAATTTTTTTTTCTCTTTTTTTCAACGGAGTCTCACTCTGTCACCCTGGGTGGAGTGCAGTGGTACGATCTCGGCTCACTGCAACCTCCACTTCCTGGGTTCAAGTGATTCTCCTGCCTCAGCCTCCCGAATAGCTGGGATTACAGGCACCTGCCACCATGCCTGGCTAATTTTTGTATTTTTAGTAAAGACGGGGTTTCACCATGTTGGCCAGGCTGGTCTCAAACTCTTGACCTCAGGTGATCCACCCTCCTCGGCCTCCCAAAGTGCTGGGATTACAGGCGTGAGCCACCACCCCTGGCTTGTATTAATTTTTTATATTTTATATTAGTATTTTATATTAACATATTTATATTAATGTATTAATAGATATTTTTATATATTGATTATTTTCCGTGCAATCCTATGAATATAGTTTCCATGCAATTACAAAAAGGAACGGCCGGGCCTGTGGGACAGGAGGTGGCAGGGAGGCAGGAACCACGTTGGAACATAGAGAGACGCTCTCGGAGGCCTTCACCTGGCACCCTTTGCTAGGGTTTCAGTTTTTGGTGGAACTCGCAGTGCTGGGTTAAAAACAAGCCCTCCTCATCTGGGAATGTGTCTCTTTCTGCCCTTGCCCATGTCTCTGCGAAAGCGGGTTCCGTAAAATCCCTCATCATGTGGCCTGAGATGTGCTTGTTCCCAGCGTGCGCAGTGGTTTGGCTCCCTCCTCCCAGAGTGATTTCACTCAAGGCGCTGATTTCTCACCACAGATACCTTTCTCTCTGTGTTTTATTCTCAGTGGGTTCAGCGTGAGCACAGCAGGAAGGATGCACATATTTAAGCCTGTGTCTGTCCAGGCCATGTGGTAAGTGTGGTTTTAGGGACTTTTAACTCCCTAGAAATATTTTCTTAGCCGACAGCATGAATAGAAAAACCCCTTCTACCAAGAAGCTCGTTACGTATGTGCATGTTGAGGGAGGCGCAAAATACATGTAACATAAAGTTTATCATTTTCACCATATTTAAAGGCACAATTTTTAGCGGCATTAAGTATATTCACAATGTTGGGGGGTTTGGGGTTTCTCGTTTTTTTTTTTTTTTGAGACAGGGTCTTGCTCCGTCACCCAGGCTGGGGTGCAGTGGTGTGATCATGGTTCACTGCAGCCTTGACCTCCCAGGCTCAGGTGATCCTCCTGCCTCAGCCTCCCAAGTAGCTGGGACTACAGGCATGCGCCACCACACCCGGCTAACTTTTCTATTTTTTTTTTTGTAGAGATGGGGTCTCACTATGTTGCCCAGGCTGGTCTCAAACTCCTGGCCTCAAGCAGTCCTCCCACCTCAGCCTCCTCCCAAAGTGCTGGGATTCCAGGCGTGAGCCACCGTACCTGGCCTCAGCCTATATTTTTGTAAAAAGAAGTAAAATGGGCTAGGCGTGGTGGCTCACAACTGTAACCCCAGCACTTTGGGAGGCCACGGTGGGTGGATGACCTGAGGTCAGGAGTTTGAGACCAGCCTGGCCAACATGGCAAAATGCTGTCTGTACTAAAAATACAAAAAATAGCCAGGTGTGACGGTACACACCTGTAGTCCCAGCTACTCAGGAGGCTGAGGCAAGAGAATTAGTTGAACCCAGGACATGGAGGTTGCCGTGAACCGAGATCACGCCCCTGCACTCCAGCCCGGGCGATGGAGTGAGACTCTCTCTCAAACAAAAAAAAAAAAAAAAAAAAAAAAAAGAAGTAAAAGAGGGTGACTAAATAAAACATAGATTCTTAATATTGTTTCCCAGTCTGCTCCCCAAACCTCTTCAGTTAGTTTCTATATTAAAATGACTTTCTAGAACTTGTTTTCTTAAGAAATCTAAGCATCTAAGCTATTAGAATGTTGATGGGGGGATGGGTGGAAATGTAATTATTTAGAATGCAGGCAGATGTCTCTGTTGCATATTAAAGACTTTTTCTTCCAGCTGCTAAGCTTAATTGTGGGTCTTAGGTTCAATGTGGGTCATATGAACATATGTTCAGGGTTACCACGCTTCAGGAGCAGTTCTTAATTCTCTGGAGTTAATTGATGGGTTGTAAAATAACCCGTGAACCACCTGATTGGAAGAGTTATGAAGTAGTTTGTTGTTGTTTGTTTCTGCTGCTCTTTGGAAATAATGTGGGGTGTTCTGGCCACTCTTAGATTCAATCAGTGAATATGTCCCAAGGACTAGCTCCGTGTCCTGGCGGGCTGAATGTTTCAGGCTATATGCATTCCCCAGCCGCCTGTATGTGTAAGTGTGACTCCAAGAGTGAGCCCTTTACAAACTGCACTTCTCAGCCGGGCATGGTGGCTCACGCCTATAATCCCAGTACTTTGGGAGGCCGAGGCGGGCAGATCACTTGAGGCTAGGAATTCAAGACCAGCCTGTCCAACATTGTGAAACCCTGTCTCTCCTAAAAATAGAAAAATTAGCTGGGCGTGGTGGTGGGCGCCTGTGGTCCCAGCTGCTCGGGAGGCTGATGCAGGAGAATTGCTTGAACCCAGGAGGCGGAGATTGCATTGGGCCGAGAACGTGCCACTGCACTCTAGCCTGGGAGTGACAGAGCGAGACTCTGTCCCAAAAAGAAATAATCAACCAATCAATCATTGCCCTTCCCTTCCCGTATTTGAACCCCTTTGTCAGAGGAGAAAACCCTGCATCTCTTGTGCCTTCCCAGGCCTGACCCTGTCTTCTCCTCGCCCCAGGTCTGCCCTGCAGGTGCTTCACAAGGCCTGCGAAGTGGCCCGGAGGCACAACTACTTCCCCGGGGGTGTAGCTCTCATCTGGGCTACCTACTATGAGAGCTGCATCAGCTCCGAGCAGAGCTGCATCAACGAGTGGAACGCCATGCAGGACCTGGAGTCTACGCGGCCCGACTCCCCCGCGCTATTTGTGGACAAGTAAGTGAGGTGCCTCTGGTGTGAGCGCACCCAAGCCCACAGGCACCTGCCTCTCCCCCACCTGCCCTGTGCCCGACCCTGAACCTGCATTGGGCCACACCTCCCCTGGAGTCCCTTGAGTGAGAACCCTAGCTTTCTCAGAACCAGCGTTTAAAGCAGGGGTCTGTGACACAGGCCCCTGTCCCATGCAAAAAAAAGAAAAAAAAAAAAAAAATTACTGATGAATTTGGTGAATGCATTTCTGGGGACGGGGTCCGTAACTCCCATCAGACTCTCAAAGGAATGTGTGGCCCTTTGTGTCCCCAACTCCTTCCAGAGCTCTGTGGTCTGGCCTTTTCTCTTCAGATTACCAGAGACTTAATTCTCAGAGCCTCCCGCTCTGCTCTGAGGAGAGTTAGGAATGTGTCCTCTGCTTCCTTGGATCCAAAAACACAACTGGTGAGGGCAGCCTGCCTTAGCAGCAGCCATGGTGAACCACATGACCTGTGTCGTGTGACCTACGACAGCGCTGACATGGAGAGGCCACACTCGCTGAAGTCTAGTTAGGGAGAATGCTGGTCGCCCCTCCCCTCGGGGTCAGGACCCTGCTCCCACAGTGTGGTGTTCCTCCAGGACACTGCATTTTGGGAAGACTATGGATAAACCACAGTGTGTTCAGAGGGCAGAGACCTGAGGGATGGGAAGCCACATTAGGAGAGGGCCTTGAAATCACGGAGGAAGGGTAGTTGCCTTTGAATATTTGAAGATTCCTCATGGGGAAGAAGGATTATCCTGGTCTGTGTGTCCCCTAGAGTTAAAACCAGAGCAGGGAAATACCCAGATTTTGATTCTGAGGAAAAAGGGGATAATGGGATCTGCTGCAGCTGGGCCGGGCTGCCTCAGACAGTGAGGTCCTCATGCCCACACGTGTTCGAGCAGAGACTCAAGGGCCCAGGGGCCTGGGGATGTTGCGCTGGGCATCCCAGCATCCTGCCCTAAGAGCGTCTGAGCAAGGAGTTTCCACACTGTCCTCTCCCCGCTTGACCTGCTCCCTGCTCTGTTGACTCCCGTGGGAGTTCTAGAGCTGCAGCGGGTTTTCTGTGCACCTCTCCCTGCTGCCTGAGAACATGCACACCAAGAAGCGTGCTCTCCTTGCCAAGCCGTGTTCTGTTTAGACCCAGGAGCATCTGGCATTCCTGTAACCTCCGACCACAAGCTTTCTACAGCTCCTTGCTCTCCTAAACGTCATTTCTTTCCAGGCCCACTGAAGGGGAAAGGACCGAGCGCCTCATCAAAGCCAAGCTCCGAAGCATCATGATGAGCCAGGATCTAGAAAATGTGACTTCCAAAGAGGTAAGACAACTCCTCCCTTCATTGCAGGTCAGAGGTCATGCAGCCTCCATGTGTCCTGCTCCCGAAAGTGCAGCAAAAGCAGGCCCAACATCTGGTTGTCTTTACCTGTCCTCTGGTATCAGCCCCCGGAGGCTTTTTTCTGCCTCGTTCTACAATTGTATCAGGCCTCGGAGTCAGACTCCAGTTTGAGTCCAGATCTGCCGCTTATCGGCTATGAGACATTGAGTGAATTTCTTGACCTTTGTGAGCCTCACCTATATGGCCTTTGGGGAGAAGTCCATGAGATCCACAGACTGCACCGAGAAGCATTGATCTGTTTTAATAACACCCCCTTGTTCTCTCTTCTGCTCCCTATTACCTTGGGTTTTATGGAAGAGACAGCAGACTTATTTCTCCACAGGATGACAGCTTGACCTGCAAGTATCAAATTCTAGAATAATTTCTCTCTACCTTTTTACCTTTTCATGTTTTTTCCTGGATCACTTTTTTTTCCATTGCTTTTTATTCAAAGCATGCAATGAATTACAATGAGAGATTCAACTGGATGGATCTAAGAAGTTAAAATTGACATTTTAAAAGTTCATTTATAATCTTTTTTTTTTTTTTAAGAGACTTGGTCTTCCTGTGTTGACCAGGCTGGTCTTGAACTCCTGGCCTCAAGCAATCCTCCCACCAAGGCCTCCCAGAGTGCCGGGATTACAGGCATGAGCCACTCCATCCAGCCCTGTCTTTTAATTAATGAATACATTTTTTAAAAATCATATTGTGATATCTTTCCAAGAAAGATAGAACTGATTTTAGATTATTTGATGTATTTGACATTTAATTATAAAAGTAAAAGTAAGTTTAAACTTGGTAGAAGAGATCTCATGGAAATCAAATTCCTTATTTGAAATAATAAACTTTACCCAGTTGGGTTTACTTCTAAGCTGAATAACCTGCATTCCTGCCACCCACGCATGTATGTTGCGTGTATCTAAATGTATTACTCTGAAAGAGAAAAAACACCCACCTTTTTTGGAAATAGGCACAGTTTCCATTGTAACTTTAATTCTTTTGAGGTGGACGATTGTTTTCTTTAACAAATCACTTTTCCTAATATTTTCTACTCCACAGATTCGTAATGAATTAGAGAAACAGATGAATTGTAACTTGAAGGAACTCAAGGAATTTATAGACAATGAGATGCTACTTATCTTGGGACAGATGGACAAGCCCTCCCTTATCTTCGATCATCTTTATCTCGTAAGAGGCATGGCCCTGGCAGTATCTGGTTTGGGGGACATAAATCAGACCCTGGTTGTTTAAGAGTTTGTAGCAAGTCCGGGAGAAAAAGCAGGCAAAAAACTTGAGTTGCCAGAGCCTCCATCCTGGCTGGCAGGAGCTCCCCTCTTTGGCCCCTTCTCTGGCCTGCAGCCTGCTGATCTGCTCTTGAGCCAGCTGTTTGAGACGTGGCTTCCAGCTGAGCTGCGGGGAGTTGTTTGGGAGCTATTTGGCGTAGTCAACTGGCATGTGTTTCAGACTCTTGCAAACCCTTTGTCTTCTTCAGCCACTAACACATAGGCCCCATCCAGTTACTTCCAAGTGGTTTGTGGGCTAAAAAACCCCAGTTACTAAAGGAAGTGTCCTCACCAAACCCCAGAATTATGCCTAGGCATCCTGAGACATGAGAAACAACAGGGAGGAGAGATCACACAGCTGACACGGAGCTCCCGCTGAGCTTGTCCAGACAGCTTTTCCATGCACGGCTCCAGGGCCGCTGGAAGCCCTCACCCGGGTCCTGTAGCTCTGGGTGGGTTGTACTGATTTCTGTGCACCTCCACGGCTAGCTCAGATTGTTTTAATGCTGTGAATATCCATAGAAGGCAACTGGCAAGTTGTCAAAGTCAGAGAGGCTATAGAGGAAGGCACGTTACTAAAATTAGAGAGGCCTAGTGGTGTAATGAAAATCAGGGCCCACCAGGGCCGGGATTCCCACTCCTCAGCCTCAGCGGCTATGTGACTTGGAAGAAGTCACTTTTCCTCTTTTTTTCTTCATCCTATACCCCAAGGGATGACTATGAGGATTAAATGAAATACAAACTGGGCACAGTGGCTTATGCCTGTAGTCCCAGCTACTCAGGAGGCTGAGGGGGAGGATAGCTTTAGCCTAGGAGTTGGAAGCCAGCCTGGGCAACATAGTGAGACCTTGTCTCTAAAAAATATTTTTTTTAATAAAATAAAATTAAAAATACATATTTAAAGCACCGAGTACAGTTTTTGCAGGTGCTAACTAATGGTAACCATTGTTAGAGGAGAAAGTGCTTCCTGGGAAAGCTAAGGAAGTAAATTTACTACTAGAGACAAGAAAGACTTTGTTTTCTGTAGGAAGTAATTAAGAGTTATGTATATGTCATGATATCTATGTAGATAAGTAGATATGTATATTTTTTAATACATTTCTGTATACAAATCTATATAGATTTCATAGTGATTGATTAAAATGTATGTACATGTGTGGATTTGAAAGTGTGGGCAGTCCTGGGCACTGATCTCCCTGGAAGTCTGTTGATTTCCCTGGTGAGAAGGGAACAGAAGGCACCTTCCTTCTTTCTCCACTAGGTGGCAGTCACAGCAAGAGGACAGTCTCAGCTTCAGCGGCACTCGCGTTATGTTTTTAGTGTGGTTCAGTGCTTTATGTCACTTTTTCCATGAGAGATACTAAAGGAATTTTTATGTTTGGGCCTCTCCCTCAAATATGAAAATTCAGCTAGTGTCGCACATTGCCAGCTTGCTCAGGGCCCTGCCACCCCTGGTCCTGAGGGGTCTGCCCTCTTGGGAACTTGGGAAAGGAAGTTTCAAGGAAGACAAAGGTGGATTCTTTTGCTCTTTATGATACTATGTTGTTTGCATTTCCTAAGAGGAAAGTGATCATTTTTTCTTTTCTTTTTTTTTTTCCCCCGTTCCATGTCCTTTGAATGCTTGGGAGTGGAAGGTTTTTCAATGATACCATTTTTTAAAAGTACTAAATTAAAACATGTTGCAGAAAGTCTGAAAATAGAAATAAATCTAAAGAAGAAAAAAGCATTCCCGATCTCGCAAATCCAGAGGTAGTCCCTGTTAACATTTTGGCATATTTATTTTCCCATCTTCTGTTTTTTTGGGTTTTTAAAATGCATATATAGCTTCTTTGAAAACGCACAAAGAAAGAAAGGATCATACTGTTTATGTTTATATAGTCCTGTATCCTCCTCTCTTAAAATTTTTTTTCCTTACATGGTATTTGCCTGTGTCATTAAATATTCTGCAAAATTTATTTGTTTTAAAGACTCCATCATGAAGATCCAGCCTCATTTATTTTACTCATTTTTTCCCTTTGGACGTTTGGGTGGTTTCCACTGGTTTATTACAAATAATTATAAATATCCTCCTACCTAAATCACTGTGTGAGTTCTGATTATTTCCTCAGGATAGCTTTTTGTAAGTGGAATTACTGGGTCAGAGGGTGGGAACTTTTTCAGTATTGCCAAAATACTTCCCAGAAGGTAGAACGATTCCTGCTTTAATTAGTGGCTTGTGAACGTGCCCTTCCCTGGGTGGGAGGTCGCAGGTCATTGCCTCTGCTTACAGGACCCCCCCCCACTGGACTCTTAGGAAAGGAAGTGGGGAGACGGAGAGCAGGTTTTCCTGGACTTGCTGTTTCCCTAAGGCCAAGGGGCCAGTGAGGGCCGGGACCCTTCCCTCCCTCCGTCCCTCCCTCCCTTCCTCTCATGCTCTGAGTACTCACTCAGGAATCTCCTTGAATATCAGCCGCTGGTTCTCTCTGTTCTCTGAGGCCAATGGGGCCATGAAATAAGACCTCACCGCCAGAGCTAGGGCAAACCATGCATCCCCTGAGCAGCTCTGAGGCTGACATGTGACACTCACAGGAGCTTGTGTGATCTGTCTCCCAGGGCTCTGAATGGAATGCATCCAATCTGGAGGAACTGCAGGGCTCAGGGTGAGTCTCCTCCCCTTGTCTTTCCCTGTCCTTCCAGGCAGCTTAGAAACCCTCCACTCTGCCATGGAGGGGGAGACCTTGGGGCTGCCTGCCTGTAATTGCCTGCACCCTGGTCTCTGAAGTGGCTGCCAGGGGTTGATGTGCATAGCTAAACAGATGTGCTTCCAAACACCACGCCCTGAATAATTCATGGAGTTTAGATTGTGCCGAAGTCTCGCGTGATCGTGTGGATTGAGGAAAACTTAAAATTACACTCTAATTGCTGTAGGACCGCCTGGATATTGATTAGGCTCTGTGCTGCCTCACCCCCACCCCGCTTCCCTGCCCCGCACAGTTGCTGCAAACCCTAGTGTGGACGCAGAGGTCTGCTGGCTGTTGCGTTAGTCAGCAACCCTGATCCCTGGGCCACTTTGGGCTCTATCTGAGCTAATGCTTTGGGGCCTGGTGGGAATCTTGCAACTTTACGCTCAGTGTTGGCCAGAAGCATATGCCTGTCGTAGTCTGACAAACACTCAGCAGGGATGAAAAATGTTTCAATCTAGACCTTCAAGAACAGATGTCTGGACTTTTTTTTTTTTTTTTTTTAAAACAACACAGCCACAAAATCACCGTTCTGTGGGCCTGACATGATGACATTCTAGAATTACCACGTTTAAAAATCAAGACTAAACAAATCTTAAAATACATCTTTAGAACTACCGGTTAAGATGCATTCTTTCAACAGAAAGTATTCTTAAAACGTAAGGCCATACTCTTCTGTGCTTTCGTCTTGCTGGGAATAAATTAATGATTTTCTTAGGTATTTTTTTAAGCATGTCTAAATATTATGAAACCTATTTGAGATGTTTTCTAACTCCTGACATTATTTTCTTCCAGAAGTAAAAGTATTGATTAAGTTGAGAGAACTACAGAACCTGGGTTAGCAGACCCTGTCAAATACTTATTTGTCTATCTTGCCTTTTTCCAAAAAAAGATTTAAGGCAGTTCCCAAGGATATAGATAATGGATGGATATAGTCTGCTTTTTAGCTCTTTAAGAGTGAAGACACTGGGATTTTTTTAAGCCTCTGTATATTCATAATAGTCATGAATAGTTATAAATTTAAGTAATACGTATATTTAATTTTCCAGAATGCTTTAAACTGAGCTTTCTTTTTATAAGGTCTTTACAATAATTTGGTTTCTTAGTATAAATATAACACATTTTCACCATTGAGAGGGCATTTAGAAAATACCAAAAAACATAGCTATTAAGGAAAAACCAAAGTCCCGCCACGAACATATGACCCTTGGTTAATGTGTGTTTCCTTTTCTTTTCTCTGCCAGTTTTTATTACCTTGCTTTTCTTTCTCATTCAGATTGTCCAAATTTGTTTCTTATTTTTTTCTCATTGCAGGGTTGATTACATTTTAAATGTTACCAGAGAAATCGATAATTTTTTTCCTGGCTTATTTGCATATCATAACATCCGAGTCTACGATGAAGAGACCACAGACCTCCTCGCCCACTGGAATGAAGCGTATCATTTTATAAACAAAGCGAAGTAAGTGGACAGAGAGGCGGGGCTGAGGATGAAACCAACCTGCTGAGGCTGGGAGAGTGGGAATGAACGAGACTGCAGATGCAGAAGTCGGCTGGTGGGAGGGGGGATCCTAACGGGACTCCAGACGCAGGAGTTGGCTGGTGGGAGTGGACTTGATGTGGGATGGACCTTTGCTTTTAGTCGCAGGACTCCAAGCACCAAAGGAGAAAAGTGGTTGGTCCTCTCCAGGTAGAGTCCCTATTGAGCTTAGTCTCTCCCACCTATCTTTGATTGTGACACTTGACCCCAGTTGTCATCATCAGCTCTGATTCCAGGCAAGCCCCAGATACCAAGTGGACACTCAGGGGCCCCACCCCTAGGAAGTCACTGAGCCAAAGAGGGCTAGGGGATGACATGCACGGACACGGGCTTAGAGCTTCTTTGGGACTGTCTCCCTAAGAATACGGCCCTTCTTCCCTCCCTGAGTTACTGTCGCATGAAACAGGACAGCACGTTGGAGGTCATGGCCAGCCCCACTGCCCCTGAGCCCGTCAGCGGTTTCACCTGTCTCTGGTGCTCATTTTATTCCCCTGCGAAACAGCTCTGCCTTATTAAGAACAGAAAGAACCCTTTGAGATGCTGTCAAGACAATCACCCTCTTCTGCTTTATCTCCCTCTGGGTCAAAGCCACATGATGTGTCCTTAACCAAATCTTAGTTCCCTTATATTCCCAGGAGACAAACTCAAGACTCCCTTGACGGAAACTTCAGACCAGCAGTTAGGGGGAAAAAACCCCACTGAGATTTGCAGGAGAATTTCAAGGTTGGGGTATAGGAAACCAGAGCCGGCTCCCACCTGGTGGGTCTGCCTTCTGTACAAATAAAGTTTCGCAGGTGCTGCCCTTACTGGCTTGGCGCTCCTTCACATTCTTGAGCAAGTGATACTTAAAGAAACACTGTCTCCTGGGCCATATCTGGTAAATCAGCCAGGCCTGGGCCAGCACTGCCTCCTTACAAATAAACGGCCAGCCCCATCTTCCACTCCTGGCTTTTTTTTGCGGCCGCCCTTACTCCTGCTCCCTGGCCCTCCTGTCTGAAGAGCATCTCGCTCTCCCCAGGGCCTTGCAGCTTTCAGTTTGCTGACCCCATTTTTCTGCAGTAACTCATTCACTGTCTCCATCTGCTGTAGCAGCTGAGTAGCTCTTGCAGAAATCCCGTTAGCTGCCCACTCTCGTCTCAGGAAAGGGCTTTTGGTCCCCTAGCCCATCCCAGCCATGTGAGAAGATTCTCACTTGGTCCCTGAAGGCAGCCAAATATTGAAGCTCTCCCTGCAAACAAAACATGGCCAGGCCAGAACAGATTTCTTTTGATATCCCATTGTGTGCTAATTGATTCTACAGTGGTGGTATTTCCTTTAGAGAGTGCGTGGACATCTGCTCCGTAAACATTAAGACGTAGGAGGATTTCGGCAGTAAGATATCTACAGGGTTTAAAAAAATGATTCGGGTAAAACCTGAGAGAATGAAGTTGTTGGAGCTTTTTAACTCCTTCCCCACTGCTTCTCCCCCATCTCTCCTCCCCAACTGCTCCCACCCCTGCAGGAGGAACCATTCCAAGTGCCTGGTGCATTGCAAAATGGGCGTGAGTCGCTCGGCCTCCACAGTCATAGCCTATGCAATGAAGGAATTCGGCTGGCCTCTGGAAAAAGCATATAACTATGTAAAGCAGAAGCGCAGCATCACGCGCCCCAACGCGGGCTTTATGAGGCAGCTGTCTGAGTATGAAGGCATCTTGGATGCAAGGTGGGTGCCTGCCTGGAGAGAAGGGTTGGCAGGCGGAGCTGGAGCAGCCATGTGGCCAAGCCAGCCAGGCCTCTGTCGGCAGCAGAGCATGCTCCCATTCGGCCCAGCAGCCGCTTCCACAGCCAAAATCCTGCCTCTCAGGGGGAGCCAGTTTGAGAAAAACAACTATTGTTTGGGCTTTGATGAGTGGTTTCCAGGAGGGATCTGTTTTGATTTTCTTGGCACACACATAAAGCTGGTTTTGCTGCTGGAGGGAACGGTGCCTAGGTTCTAAGCCAAGGCCTGGCCTCGTGTGTGTGGCGTAAGCACGTGCGCATCTCGCTTCCTGGGCATCTGGTTTGTGCCAAGCCCTGTGCACCAGCTTTGCTGCAGGAAAAGCCAAGGACTCGGAGAGGCACAGCAACCAGGTTCCGCCACTGATGAGCAGGGCAAGTCAGGGCAAGCCCATCAGTCTTCCCGAGCCTCAGTTCCCTCTTCTAAGAATTAATGCCCACCTTAGCTGGGCCTGGGACATGCACTTGTAGTCCGAGCTGCTTAGGAAACTGAGATGGGAGTATTGCTTGAGCCCAAGAGTTCGAGTCTGCAGTGAACTGTGATTGTGCTACTGGACTCCAGCCTGCATGACAGAGCAAGACCCCATCTCTTAAACAAAAATGCTTTTTAAAACACTGAGGTCAGGTGTGGTGGCCCACACCTGTAATCCCAACAATTTGGGAGGCCAAGGTGGGTGGTCGCTTGAGCTCAGGAGTTCGAGACCAGCCTTGCTGATGTAGTATATTTTCTTGACCCCTTTTTGGGACACGTGACAGAGGTGCCTCATTTACCCAGTCCACCCCACTCAACCCCTCATGGGAGGGAGCGTACAAGCGAACTAGTGCAGGAACTGGGGTGAGCGAGTGGAGGAACCGGCCTCTTTGCTCTGGCAGGAGTGAACCCTGTGCAGGCCCCATGGCAGCATCCAGGTGTGGGTGCCTGTGACCCTAAGGCCTCAGAGGGTGTGTTATAATACTCCTTTAGCTCTGCCATCCACAGATAGCAGTGTGTTACCAGCTCAGTGGGCCCTTTGCTTCATCGTGTGAGGCAGCTGCCTTCTACCAGTGAGGGCAAAGGGCCAATGTGACAGCATTTTTGG
The DNA here is from genome assembly GCF_000001405.40 of Homo sapiens. Classification (NCBI taxonomy): domain Eukaryota; kingdom Metazoa; phylum Chordata; class Mammalia; order Primates; family Hominidae; genus Homo; species Homo sapiens. The sequence goes on along the minus strand of NC_000012.12, from coordinate 108,797,867 downwards.
GTACTCACACCTGGTGTGTCCTGAATTCTTGTCTGGTGCTCAAGAGGAATGAGGTCACATGGGCGAATTGAAGAATGGTGAATGTGGAGAATTTTACTGAGTGATGAAAGCAGCCCTCAGCAGAGAGGGGAGCTGGAAAGGGGATAGGAAGGGAAGGTCGCTCTCCCCTGAGGTCAAGCCACCTCTCTGCCTCGTCCAGCCTCCATCTTCTAAAGTCAAGCTGCCACTCTCTCCGACATCCAGGCACTTCTTCCTGACGTCCAACTGCTGCTTCTCTCTGCCAGCTGAGTCTGGGGTCTTTATAGGCACAGGATGGGGGTGGAGTGGGCTATAGGTAGTTTTGGAAAAGGCAACATTCAATTGGTAAAAAGACATTATTCAGAAAGAGCCAGTTGGGAGAGAGCAGGCACACAGGGTTGGGTGTTCTTACTCTGGGACACAGGTTTCAGGCTTTTCGGCTTGAAGGTGGGGTTTTGCCAGGGACCCGCACCTGTCTGCCTAGAATTTCTCTGCCTCCTATTGCTGTCATTGGCAACATGCTGAGACCCTGTCTCTACTAGAAGTACAAAAAAAAAAAGCCCAGCGTGGTGGCGTGCACCAGTGGTCCTAGCTGCTTGGGATGCTGAGATCAGAGGGTTGCTTGAGCCCAGGGGGCAGAGGTTGCAGTGAGCCGAGATTGTGCCACTGCACTCCAGTCTGGGTGACAGAACCAGACGCTGTCTGAAAAAGAAAACAAACAAACAAAACAATGAATGCTCACCTTAATGTGGATGTTAATGGTACAGGTGCTGTGGAAAACAGTATGGTGGTTCTTCAGAAAATTAGGGGCCAGGCATTGTGGCTCATGCCTGTAATCCCAGTACTTTGGGAGACCCAGGCAGGTGGATCACCTGAGGTCAGGAGTTCAAGGCCAGCCTAACCAACATGGAGAAACCCCATCTCTACTAAAAATACAAAATTAGCTGGGTGTGGTGGCATGCACCTGTAATCCCAGCTACTCAGGAGGCTGAGGCAGGAGAATTGCTTGAACCCGGGAGGTGGAGGTTACAGTGAGCCGAGATCACACCATTGCACTCCAGCCTGGGCAACAACAGCAAAACTTCGTCTAAAAAAAAAAAAAGGAATAAAATTATATCATCTAGCAATTCCACTTGTGGAAATATATCCAAAACAATTGAAAGCAGAGTCTCGGAGAGATATTTGTACATTAGTGCTTATAGCAACATTATCCACGATAGCCAAAAAGTGGAAGCAACCCATGTGTTCATTGATGGATGAATAAACAAACAAAACGTGACATATTCATACAATGGGATACTACACAGCCTTAAAAAGGAAGGAAAGACTGACACAGGCTACGACAGTCATGAACCTTCATGACATTGCGCTAAGTGAAATAAGCAAATCACGAAAAGAACTACTGTATGTTTCCATGCATATGAAATACTTAGAGAAGTCAAAGTCACAGAGAGTAGAATGGTGGTTGCCAGGGACTGGAAGAAGGGAATGGGGAGTTACTGTTCAATGGGTACCGAATTTCAGCTTTGCCAGAGACAGAGCATTCTGGAGACTCTAGAGGCTCTCTGGTTGGTGGTGATGGTTGCATAACATTATGAATGTATTTAATGTACACTTAGAAGTGGTCAAGATGAGGCCGGGTGTGGTGGCTCATGCCCGTAATCCCAGCACTTTAAGAGGCCGAGGCAGGTGGATCACTTGAGGTCAGGAGTTCGAGACCAGTCTGGCCAACAAGGTTAAACCCCGTCTCTACTAAAAATACAAGAATTAGCTGGGTGTGGTGGCGTGCACCTGTAATCCCAGCTACTTGGAAGGCTGAGGCGGGAGAATGGCTTGAACCTGGGAGACCAGGAGTTCAAGACCGCAGTGAGCCATGATCGCATCACTGCACTCCAGCCTGAGCAACAGAGCGAGACCTTTTCTCAGAAAGAAATACATAAATAAAAATTGTTTAAATATATAAATAAAAAGAGGTCAGGGTGGCAAATTTTATTTTTTTGAGACAGGGTCTCACTCTGTCACCCAGGCCGGATTGCAGGGTATGATCATGACACCTCAACCTCCCAGGCTCAAATGATTCTCCCACCTCAGCCCCCCAAACAGCTGGGACTACAGGTGCGCACCACAATACCCGGTTAATTTTTTATATTTTTTTCTGTAGAGAAAAGGTTTTGGTATGTTGCCCAGGCTGGTCTCAAACTCCTGGGCTCAATCGATCCTTCCACCTCAGCCTTCCAAAGTGCTGGGCCACCACACCTGGCCCAAATTTTATATTATATGTATTTTAGCTGTAAAAAAAAAAATTGAGGGTCAGGCGCTGTAATCCCAGCACTTTGGGAGGCCGATGCAGGCGGATCACCTGAGGTCAGGAGTTTGAGACCAGCCTGGCCAACATAGTGAAACCCCATCTCTTCTAAAAATATACAAAAAAAATTAGCCAGGTGTGGTGGCGTGTGCCTGTAATCTCAGCTACTCAGGAGGCTGAGGCACGAGGATTGCTTGAACCCAAGAGGCAGAGGTTCCGAGATCATACCACTGCACCCCAGCCTGGGTGACAGAGTGAGACTTCACCTCCAAAAAAAAAAAAGTTTTTAAAGAATACCCACCCAATAGAGCTGCTGTGAGGTTTGCATGAGTGCTATCTGTCAATCAAGCCAAATGACCGAGGCAAGTCTCAATCATTTTAGGAGGTTTATTTGCCATTGTTAAGGATGCACACCTGGGAGACACGTCTGTGCCTTTCTCTGAAGATAATTTTGAGGGCTTCAAATTTTAAGGGGAAAGGATGGGATATCGAGAAATGCACAATTTTCATGTGAAGCGGGGTAGGGGGAAGAGAGTCATGTATGCCTTCATCTGGCTCAGTGAATCTGCGTTTTTGCATAACATAGACAATAGAGCAGAGGAAACAATCAGATATGCATTTGTGTCAGATGGGTAGAGGGATGACTTTGAGTTCTGTCCTGTGTCTTCCTTCCCACCCACCCCCCACAATCTATGAAGATAGTGGGCAATTTACATTGCCATGGTGAATTTTAACCGAAAAGCTTTAGGGTAAAGATCTTGGGGACCGCAAGGAATTTCCTTGTGGGCAAGATATGAGGGAGGTGTGTAGCTTTTCATCTTCGTAGCCATCTTATTTAGGAATCAAAATGGGAGGCAGATTTGCGTGACCCACTTCCCGGCTTGACTTTTCCCTTTGGCTTAATGAGTTTGGGGTCCCAAGATTTGTTTTCCTTTTGCAGTGCTAAACAAGTTTACCTTTACAGATACTTCCACATCTGGCTTGTAGTAAATAATAAATGTAGCTTAAAGTCTCTGAACTCCCATCCTAAAAATTTCTGTACAGGTTATCCCCCTTTTACGAGGATCAGGGCAGGGATAAGGAGCTGACGCTGAGAGGTTGACCTATCCCCCATACACAGCCAGTGGGCGGCAGGAGGGAGAGGTACACCGCGGCCCCTCACTCAGCCTCTGAGTCAGGGTGCTGTGTGCAAAAAGCCCTGCGGTTCTGTCACCCACACGGGGTGGTGGGGGAGGTCCTCACCGTAGTTCCAGTACCCCAGGCTCTCAAGTTGGAAGCCCAGAGCCTGGGCGGCACTTTCTCCCGGTTCCCTTTCCAGTCAGTCTGTACAAGAAGCAGGCCTCCCTGGGAGATATCAGTCTGGTGTTGGAAGGAAGCCACAGGCAAAGTCTACCAGCCTCTTGGCCAAGTTTGGGAATGCAGGAGTGCCCTAGCAGAGTTAAACAGGGTCCAGAGAACAGGGCCGGCCAACTGTGGACTCCTTCACTGTCGGAAGGGCTGGACAGGTCCCCAGGCAAGGCCCAGAGGAGGAGGAGGAAGAGCGAGCATCTCACTGACCTCTCCCTGAGCCTGCCACGCACTCAGTGCCCTCTGCAGCCTAAGCCAGGCGCTCCAGGCCAGGTTCATAGCAGCGTGGCAGTGACCTTGAGTAGCTGCTGGCTGGGATGTGCACACCGAGCAGAGAGGATGAATGGCTCTGTCACACTGTGCTCTTACATTTACCTCTCTCTTTTTAACCCTCGCAAGCCTGTGATACTGGTATTACTTTAAGGTCCTTGAGGGTGACTTAGTTACCTTATTTCACCGTAAACTTTTTTTTTATGCCTTACATTTTAAAAATGTATTACAGGGCTTGGTGCAGTGGCTCATGCCAGTAATCCCAACACTTTGGGAGGCTGAGGTAGGAGGATCGCTTGAGACCAGGAGTACAAGACCAGCTTGGGCAACATAGCAAGACCCTGTCACTACAAAAAAAATAATTTAAAAATTAGCCAGGGATGGTGTCACATGCCTGTAGCCCCACTTGGGAGGGTGAAGTGGGAGGACTGCTTGAGCCCAGGAGTTTGAGGCTGCTGTGAACCGTGATCACACCACTGCACTGCCTGGACCACAGAGTGAGACCCTCATCTCAAAAAAAAAAAAAAAAGGGATTATAAAAACAATGTCATCATAGTAGAAGAAATTGTTTAAAAACTGACCTAAACCTAAACAAATACTTTCTAGTTTTCCAGGATCTTCCCAAATGCATTGCAGTGCGTTATGTGTGTGTATAGTTGTATTATCGTGTATAGATCTGTACATACTCCACTTTGATTCCCTTCATTTCCCTACAATATAGGTAGGAGAGCGTTGTTATTCTTATTTGACAGAGAAATGAGAGATGGAGTGTAACTGACGTGACAATGAGGCATCACTAAACACAGATACACAGATTGAAGTCTAGACGCCCCCGCGTTCCTTCCCCGTTGTCATCAGAGGCAGAAAGTCACATCAGGCTTCCTGTGCGAGCCTGGACAACTTAGGAGCCAGTGCTGTTTCTCATCCTTGTGTTTCTTGGGAACAAATGAACAGAGAGAGGCTTTACCTGAATGAGCCATGGATCGTCCCTGGCGCCCTGACCTTGGGCAGCCCCTCACTGGCTCACCGCATACTCTTCCCAGCACCCCCAGGCACCATCCTCCTCCCCTCACCTTCCTCTACCCTCTCTCCCCGCAGCAAACAGCGGCACAACAAGCTGTGGCGTCAGCAGACAGACAGCAGCCTCCAGCAGCCTGTGGATGACCCTGCAGGACCTGGCGACTTCTTGCCAGAGACCCCAGATGGCACCCCGGAAAGCCAGCTGCCCTTCTTGGATGATGCCGCCCAGCCCGGCTTAGGGCCCCCCCTCCCCTGCTGTTTCCGGCGACTCTCAGACCCCCTTCTGCCTTCCCCTGAGGATGAAACTGGCAGCTTGGTCCACCTGGAGGATCCGGAGAGGGAGGCTCTGTTGGAGGAAGCTGCTCCACCTGCAGAGGTGCACAGGCCGGCCAGACAGCCCCAGCAAGGTTCCGGACTCTGTGAGAAGGATGTGAAGAAGAAACTAGAGTTTGGGAGTCCCAAAGGTCGGAGCGGCTCCTTGCTGCAGGTGGAGGAGACGGAAAGGGAGGAGGGCCTGGGAGCAGGGAGGTGGGGGCAGCTTCCAACCCAGCTCGATCAAAACCTGCTCAACTCGGAGAACCTAAACAACAACAGCAAGAGGAGCTGTCCCAACGGCATGGAGGTAGGCAGAGCCCGGCCTGCAGGGTGGCACACCCCATCCCTTCCATCCCACTCTAATTGGCCTACCTCAGCCTCTGTAGTAGGGACTACAGGCACCCGCCACCACACCCAGCTGATTTTTTTCTATTGTCTCCTCTGGGCCCCCAGCTCCCATCTCCAGGGACCTGAGGGTTCTTTCACAGGGTGATTCTGCTGGTGGGTACGTAGTGCATACCTTATATAGCAAATTGAGAATCTGTTGGGAATAACACATATCTCTGCACACCATCTTCACCCCATGTACCTTATTCATACCCTGGGCAGGGCTTCCAACTCAATTTCTTTTTGTGTATGTAAAATTAAAACATATAATTTATCAGCCAACTTCAGCCTTTATCGATATATGACTATTCTTTTTCATCTCACCCCTACCACCCACTTCCCCACACCCCTGATGATCCTGGAACCAATCCCAGATTTAGATATAGATACCTGTATCTAAAAAATATATATTATAGGTATATACTGTAGATATAGATAGATACATACTATAGACAAGTTCTCACTGTTTCCCATGCTGGAGTACAGTGGCATGATCACGGTTCACTGCAGCCTTGACCTCCCAGGCTCAAGTGATCCTCCTACCTCAGCCTCCTGAGTAGCTGGGACCACAGGCGCATGCTACCACACCCGGTTAATCTTTTCTATTTTTTTGTAGAGATGAGGTCTTACTGTTGCCCAGCCTGGTCTCAAGCCATCTGCCCACCTTGGCTTCCCAAAGTGCTGGAATTACAGGTTTGAGTCACCACGCTTGGCCTCAGATATATCATTTTATTCATAAATGCTCCAGTATGTTAACATAGCCACAATACCATTGTCACCTTTTAAAAAAACTGATAGGGCCAGACGCGGTAGCTCACATCTGTAATCCCAGCATTTTGGGAAGCCGAGGCAGGCAGATCAGGAGGTCAGGAGATGGAAACTATCCTGACCAACATGGTGAAACCCTGTCTCTACTAAAAATATAAAAATTAGCTGGGTGTGATGGTGCATGCCTGTAATCCCAGCTACTCAGGAGGCTGAGGCACGAGAATTGCTTGAACCCAGGAGGCAGAGGTTGCAGTGAGTCAAGTTCGTGCCACTGCACTCCAGCCTGGGTGACAGAGCGAGACTCCGTCTAAAAACAAAAACAAAACTGATAGTAATTTCCCAACGTTGTCAAGTATCCAGCCTTCCAACTTAGACTCTAATACTTAACTCCATTAGTCTCTTGGAGTTGCCATTTTTAGTGGATTATCTGCCACAAGGTTTGAGCTTCAACCTGGTGCTTACTGAGAAATTGGTTAATTCCAGCCAACCTTTTCCCTCCTCCATGGGGGAAGTGATGCAGGAGCAGAGGCTGGTTCAGTGGAAGGGTGGCCGTGCAGCCTGGTCTCCACTTCCACCCTTGCCCTGCTGCTGACTTTGTTGCCTCTGGCTTCACCTGCCCATCTCACAGGACAGCCGTGGTTCTCAAGTGGGGGCACTTGGGGTCCTGACAGATGCATTCAAGTATACAGCCAGTTTATTATTATTAACAGCATGTTATAATGCAAACAAAACTGGGCAGTTGCATCTGTCGACCTCCATAAAGCATTCCAAATCAAATACTAATTATGGATTTCCCCCACTTCCCTGCCTACCACAAAGCAAATACCCATAAAGACAGATGAGATAAAACCCTGGGCCAGGTGCAGTGGCTCACGCTTATAATCCCAGCACTTTTGGAGGCCAAGGCAGGCAGATCATCTGAGGTCAGGAGTTTGAGACCAGCATGACCAACATGGTGAAACCCTGTCTCTACTAAAAATACAAAATTAGCTGGGCATGGTGCCGCACGCCTGTAATCCCAGCACTTTGAGAGGCTGAGGCGGGCAGATCATCTGAGGTCAGGAGTTTGAGACCAGTCTGACCAACATGGTGAAACCACATCTCTACTAAAAATATTAAATTAGCTGGCTGTGGTGGTGCATGCCTGTAATCCCAGCTACTCAGGAGGCTGAGGCAGGAGAATTGCTTGAACCTGGGAGGCAGAGGTTGCAGTGAGACAAGATCACGCAATTGCACTCCACCCTGGGCAACAAGAGCGAAACTTCATTTAAAAAAAAAAAAAAACTGGAAGCCATGGCGGGGCCTTTAAGCAGGTGGGTGATGAGCCCCCTCTGGCTGTGGTCTACAGGCAGGCTGCTGGGGTAAGAGGGGAAGTTGGGATGCTGGGATCACAGTGGCTCAGAGGATGGGGCAAGGACATAAGGAGGTGTTGAGAGACAGAGCTGGCGGGGTGTAGTCGCTCACACCTGTAATCCTAGCACTTTGGGAGGCCGAGGCAGGAGGAACACTTGAGCCCAGGAGTTCGAGACCAGCCTGGGCAACATAGTAGGACCTTGTCTCTTATCTGTTTGAAAGAGAGAGAGACAGAGCCCTGTTGCCCTCCTGCCTTGTCCTGCCCTCCAGCCTACAGTCCTGTGCAGGCGGGGTGGGGTAGGGGGGTGCCCTCCTCCTTCCTGCTTTGCTTCTGGACCTGCATGCTGCTCTCTCTGGCTGGTCAACACCTGCTTGTCCCAGAAGCCTCAGCTGAAGTGTCAGTTCCTCTGGGAAGCCTTCCCTCCGCGGAGACTTAGAACTTGTCCCTCTCTCCCCTGGGACTCTTCACACAGCTTTCTAGTCCATTCCCAGGACCACTGGGTACCTGTCAGTTGGCCTGTAAGGAAGTGAAGGGTGGGGACACAGAGGCATGTGTCACGTTCACTTAGATCCTCACTGACCAAAAGGCAGGAGGGTTTCCTTAGGAAACAATGTAAACTTGTTTTCTATTGGGGTATAAAATCCACCTCAGGCCAGTGGTTATTCTCGATCAAGTGGGCTCCAGGAGGTCTGTCTGTCAGTATTAAGTGAAATGAGAGCCTCCCCTCCAGGCCTGGCCCCCAGTCCGGCCTCGCACCCCTTTCCCTGCCCACCCTCATGTTTTTGGTCTTTGGCTCATGACTGCACCGTCTCACCATGCTCTTGTCCCCTTCCTTGCAGGATGATGCTATATTTGGGATCCTTAACAAAGTGAAGCCTTCCTATAAATCCTGTGCCGACTGCATGTACCCTACAGCCAGCGGGGCTCCTGAGGCCTCCAGGGAGCGATGTGAGGACCCCAATGCTCCCGCCATCTGCACCCAGCCAGCCTTCCTACCCCACATCACGTCCTCCCCTGTGGCCCACTTGGCCAGCAGGTCCCGTGTTCCGGAGAAGCCAGCCTCTGGCCCAACCGAACCTCCCCCGTTCCTACCACCAGCAGGCTCCAGGAGGGCAGACACCAGTGGCCCTGGGGCTGGAGCTGCCCTAGAGCCACCAGCCAGCCTTTTGGAACCTTCCAGAGAGACCCCAAAAGTCCTGCCAAAGTCCCTCCTTTTGAAGAATTCTCACTGTGATAAGAACCCTCCCAGCACAGAAGTGGTAATAAAGGAAGAATCGTCACCCAAGAAAGATATGAAGCCAGCCAAGGACCTGAGGCTTCTGTTCAGTAATGAATCTGAGAAGCCGACAACCAACAGCTACCTGATGCAGCACCAGGAGTCCATCATTCAGCTGCAGAAGGCAGGCTTGGTCCGCAAGCACACCAAAGAGCTAGAGCGGCTGAAGAGCGTGCCTGCAGACCCAGCACCTCCCTCCAGGGATGGCCCTGCCAGCAGGCTGGAGGCCAGCATCCCCGAGGAGAGCCAGGATCCAGCCGCGCTCCACGAGCTGGGCCCCCTGGTTATGCCCAGCCAGGCCGGGAGTGATGAGAAGTCAGAGGCCGCCCCCGCTTCATTGGAAGGAGGCTCACTGAAGAGCCCCCCTCCTTTCTTCTACCGCCTGGACCACACCAGTAGTTTCTCAAAAGACTTTCTGAAGACCATCTGCTACACCCCCACCTCCTCTTCCATGAGCTCCAACCTGACCCGGAGCTCCAGCAGCGATAGCATCCACAGTGTCCGTGGGAAGCCCGGGCTGGTGAAGCAGCGGACACAGGAGATTGAGACCCGGCTCCGGCTGGCGGGCCTCACCGTCTCTTCCCCACTGAAGCGCTCACACTCTCTTGCCAAGCTGGGGAGTCTCACCTTCTCAACGGAAGACCTGTCCAGTGAGGCTGACCCGTCCACCGTCGCTGACTCCCAGGACACCACTTTGAGTGAATCTTCCTTCTTGCATGAGCCCCAGGGAACCCCGAGGGACCCAGCTGCAACCTCCAAACCATCAGGGAAACCCGCCCCAGAAAACTTAAAGAGCCCTTCGTGGATGAGCAAAAGCTGACCCGCCTTTTGCTGCGTCAGGCTGGGCGGATATTTTCATATGATCCCTCCCTCACTTTCACTGTGGATTTGGATCGACCCCTTACATCTTGATTTCCCTTAAACGAGTGAAGTCATCCTAACTTTTCCCCTACTCTTGCCATAGAGAGGAGGAGAAGAAACTAACCAACATGCAGCACAAGAAGGGGAGCTGTCAGTCGTGTGGCCTGGGAGAACCAGGAGCCGCCGGCCAGGAGACACAAAACTCCGCTCCCACCGTGTCTTCAAGAAGAACCATGTTTTAGGAAGAACGTGCACACATAGGCGCACACATCCAGACTGTTCCCTTCGCATCCTGCAGAAGAGTCCTGGTGGTGGCAGCCTCACCGCGGCACACGTTCTAGCTCATTCTTGGCCTCGCAGAAAACTCTCGGATGGCAACATTAAGTCCTACCTCTGTTCTCGCTGCGCTTTTTATTTTTAAAACACACGAATGACCAAGGCTTGTTCCAGGGAATAATGCTCTGTCTGAAAGCGTTTTTCCAAAAAAAGAATTTTTCGTTTTGTGTTTTGGTTGGGACCCCAGACGTGTCAAGACTTTTAACCCGACAGCCCCAAGCACTGCTGAGTAAAGTCATCAGATGAGTAGTCCCACGCTGTTGTTGAGCTGACTCTGTGCCCGAATGGTGGTGCAGGCGCCCTGTCCTGGTTGTGTTGTTACGTGTTTGACCAGCACAGGGGTCCGGTGGGGAAAATGTATGGGTTGTTCTCAGTTGTTGCTAATGCTGAAGTTTAAATCTCAAGGGGAAGGGCCCACCTGCATTGTTGAGTGTCTGCTGCTGAAACACATGATTGTGTTTAGGTTTGAAATTGCTCAAGTGTCTGGCTCAGGTGGTGGTTCTGAGACACATCGTCCTGCTGAGAGCCCAGATGCTTAGGTCCACTAGGGCCCATCTAGGGAAGGGAAAGGAGATTTCAGCGGCTTCCCCGAAAGGAACGGGACTGTCGGGATGCTTCCCGGATGTCTACAGTTGCCCCTTCCTGCAGTGAGATTACTGCTTCCTGTTTCCCTCCAGCTCTTCCCAGCAGCAGTGAGGGAGTATAAGAGGGATCTGTAGTCGCTGCCTGGCTCTGTGGGCGGCCCCTTTAAGACTCAGGTGAGCTCAGCCAGTCCCGCTGCGCCAGGCTTGAATCAAAGGTGTCAGCAAGCTAGATGTCAAAACATTTCGAGAGAGAGGCAGCTTGCAGAAAAGCAGAAAGGTTGAATTCAGGGGTCAGCAAACTATGGCATGTGGCCCCGTGAGCTAGGAATGGTTTTTCCTCTTTAAGACAGGGCCTGGCTCTGTCACCTAGGCTGGAGTACAGTAGTGCAATCATGACTCACTGCAGCATCAACCTCCCTGGCTCAAGCGATGGCTTTTACCTTTTTAAGGAGTTGTAAAAAAAAGAAATAATATGTGACAGAATTCATGTGGCCCACAAAGCCTGAGGTACTTACTGTCAGGCCCTTTGTAGAAAAAGTTGCTGACCCCTGGTTTGATTTGCCACACAGGGCTGCTCATGGCCCTGTAGGAAGAAACTGGGTAAATGTGAAGCCCTCTGCCTCTCTGACACCTAAGGCCAGACCCTTCCCTCCTCCCGACCACAAGCTTTGCCAGCCCCGCACTAGCCTCACCTGTGCAGGATGGAGTAGGTTGCGTACATGGGGGAAGGCAGGTGAACACAGTTGGCTGAAGCTCTTCCACAATTCCATCTTGCCCTCAGCTGGGTCCGCCAGATTAACTCAGTGAAACCAGAAAGCCTTCAAGGACCAGCTGAATTCTGAAAGTGAGTGAGTGAGCCATCATCTTAACATTGGCCAGAACTGTGTTCCCCAAAGCTATTCTAGAAAGCACCCCAGGAGGGATCTGCAGGAACAAGGCTAGTTCATATTTTACCTAGTGAGCACAGTTTTTGCAAAAATCCTCCCTCCAGGACTTTGTCTCCTTGGAGTGATTTTTAAAAATACATACATTACTTTATAGGGAGCTGTTTTCCCACTAGTGTCAATTAAAATCACCTTAAAAGGTGATTATCCACTTATTCCTAAACCCCTGTGGGTTGTTCCCCCTTTCCCTCAGCCAACAAAAGCATAGCCTCAAAAAATATCAAGTTCGGTATGTTTTGCCAAATCAAATTTCATGTGGTAGATCAATTTTTGTGTCAAAATAATCTTTTAAATTTAGTGATGACAGGCTTTTGTTGGTTTTTTAACCACGTCTATGTATGAGAATGATATATTTTTGAAAACTTTAATTTTGAAAGCCATAATTTTTCTTATCTAAAGAGTTGGGGGGTGGGGTGTGGAATCTGGAGAGTACAAGTTGGTCTTTGGCTTCTGGCAAACTTACCCATTCATTTTTGGAAGCACAGCTAGCATATCAACATCCAGACGAGAGCGCTGGTCCCGTCCACAGAGCAGAGTGAAGCATTCTGGACTTGATGCTTAATAGCCTGGCCTGGAGAAAAGGGTAAGGTTTATTTTTGGAAACCCAGATCAGTTGCATGTAAACAGATGGCACATGGCTATTTAAAATGCTGTATGATGGGGCCGGGCGCGGTGGCTCACGCCTGTAATCCTAGCACTTTGGGAGGCCGAGGCAGGCGGATCATCTGAGGTCAGGAGTTCTAGACCAGCCTGGCCAACATGGTGAAACCCCGTCTCTACTAAAAATACAAAAACTTAGCTGGGTGTGGTAGTGCGTGCCTGTAATCCTAGCTACTTAGGAGGCTGAGGCAGGAGAATCGCTTGAACCTGGGTGGCGGAGGTTGCAATGAGCCGAGATCGCGCCACTGCACTCCAGCCTGGGTGCAATGAAACTGGGAGTGAAACTCCGTCTCAAAAAAATAAAATGCTGTATGAACAAGATGAGCATTCTGTCAGGTGTCGGGACACCTGGGCAAAGACGAATTCATGCTGTCTGTGAAAAGGAAGTTTGCACTGTAACATATGCCATAGCTTGGCCCTTGCTTTGTATGCAACCTTAGCTGATGGGGAAAATTCCAAACATAAGTGGCACAGGAAAGAGGCAGGCAGAGGAGGCAGGGGTCTGTGCTGTGCAAGTCACTGGTTTTTTATGACTATCATTTTCATTGAATGCATTTGTTGAATTGGGACAAAAGGAACATTTTCTAAATCAGCTTGATACTCTTTATAAAAAACAGCTGAATCTTATCTTCTGCCTCACATTAATTCATGTGGCATGCCAAAAGTTAGACTGAACTTTTCTACATCTTCACCTTGCATTGATACAGGAAAGTCTTCTCTTTAAGTCTTGCTAAGTATAAGGGGGATAGTGGTCACGGGAAGAGGAGAACCGGGGCTGCTCTCGGATGGTAATTGACAATGCCGATTTCCATTTCTTTGTCTTACGGCTACTTCCGAGCCTTCTAGCAAGGTCCCTGGTTGCATGTATTTCCTAAGAGCAGAGTTTATTTCTCTTTACATTCCCTGCTTCCTTGCTCTCCATGCAGGGACCCCAGCCAACCTCTGGGCTGTTGAATAGCTCTCTGCTGGGTGGCAAGCCCTTCTCCTTGGCACCCTGTTGCTTAAGCATACAGATTGCTCACCAGGTGCACACAGACAGCTGTACTGTCCAAGCCCATTCTGCTCCACCCTGTCCTCTTCAGCTAAAGAGCATTCCAGTAATCTAAAGCCCTTTTCCCCTGGAGAAGTCCAGAGTTTGCAGCAGTGTGGAGCTGAGCTTGAACAGAACAGACCCTCAGCACGGCCCTGGACTAATGCACTCTTATCTGAGGGCAGTCCATTCTAGAAGGTTGATGAATTTCCCTACCACTCTCCTGGGGACCTTTTCTCTCTAGTGGGAACAAATGCTACATAATTTAGTCAAGATCCTATTAAGTCATCTCACCTGAGGCATCTGGAGAGGGAGTTGCCTTCCATTGGTGGGAAATTGTTGGTGCCAGAATACATTTTGCCCAAAACTCTTCTCATTGGCTGGCCACCTAGCAGGGCTCCTCTAAACACGCAACTCAGCGAGGGGACCCCCTTCACCTCTGGCAAGAGAGCTGGGTAGATCAGAAACTTGGTGACACCTGGCTAGCACAGAGCAGGCTCACTTGTCTTGGTCCCACTACCCAGATTCCTGCAGACATTGCAAACCAAATGAAGGTTGTTGAATGACCCCTGTCCCCAGCCACTTGTTTTGTTATCATCTGCTCTGCAGTGGAATGCCTGTGTGTTTGAGTTCACTCTGCATCTGTATATTTGAGTATAGAAACCGAGTCAAGTGATCATGTGCATCCAGACACACTGTGTCACCTGAGCCACAGAGCAAATCACCTTAACGATCTGGAATGAAACTGTGACCAGTGCCGCCCTGGGTGGTTCTGGAGAGACTGCCGTCTTCTTGTTTGGCCATAGGTGCTGGGGCCCCGGCTTCAGTCACTGTCTCAGACAGGAGTCCCGATAAGCAGATCACCAGTCCTCCACTGTCCTTCCTGTCGGCCTTGCTGCATGAGAAGATAGCTGCTTCCTCCCTCTTTTCCTACACTGTAATTATTGTTTTACAATTGAGTGCCTTAATAATAGTTTACAAATACTATGTATTTATGCAAAACTGTTAAAGTCTCATCTGTTATGATTGGATACTTGGTCTTGTCAGTAGTGGTCAGCATTGGGTTGTGAGCTTGTCCTACTCCATACGTGTTTATCCTGCTATGCAGTTTTACATTGTGTGTTCACATCTATTCCAAGGAGCCTTGCTAGAAACAACACTGGCGGTTCCTGCAGGCCAGGCAGGCATTGGCCCATGCTGTGTCCCATAGGAGCCAATGAAAGAACGTAGCTTGGTCTGCTAGCCAGCCGTGGGGTGGCGCAGGCCAGGCAGCCTCTGCACCAGAGTCCAGCACCTGCCCATTCCCCAGTCACACAATCATACTCTTCTTTCATAGAGATTTTATTACCACCTAGACCACCCTAGTTTTCCTCTCTGTTAGTGTCCTGAGCTCTTTTGCAACAAAATGTAGGTACAGACCAATCCCTGTCCCTTCCCCAATCAGGAGCTCCACACCATGAGTTGTTTGGTTTTCCAGAAGCTGCCAGTGGGTTCCCGTGAATTGCGTTAAGATATCGATGATTTTTTTTATTGTTTTTCTTCTTGTTTTTTTAAATAATATATTTAAAGGCAGTATCTTTTGTACTGTGAATTTGCAGTAGAAGATGCAGAATGCACTTTTTTTTTACTTCTGTTGGTGTGTATTGTATATAGTGTGTGTGCTTCTTGTGATGAAAATAAACTTTTTCTTTATAAATTCCTGATGACTGAGTTTATATAAAAGGAAACTGCTTCCTCAGCCCTTGCCAAAACAGTCTGATACATCGTCATCATCATCGTCATTGACATGGCCAGTCTTTATTGAGCATCTATTACATGCTCAGTTCTTTGCTAGAAAACCTGGACAAGTTACACCAAAGAAAGGACCACAGGAAGAAATGATAGTTCCTCCTGGAACTAGTCTGTTTTCTTTCTAATTTTGTCAGTAAGCAAGAACAGGCCCACCTGTGGGTGGTCCTTTGTGTACCAAAAAAAAAAAGTTACCCACCAGGAAAGGATTTGGACTTTGGGTGGGTTCTCTTCCCGTACAAGTAGGAAATGTAAAGCCAGAGGTGTGCACTAAAGAACATCTAACCTGCTCCCACCAGCCCTGGTGGGAGAGGGAGGACCCTGGAGGCTAAGTACTGCTGGTTTCCAAGGTGCATGCTCATGTCCCAGTCCACTTCACCCCAGGCAGCTTTTGGTGGCTCTTCTCCCTTGGACACTCAGGAGGCAGAGCTGCTTCCATTTTTTTTTTTTTAATTTTTTTTTTTTTTTTTTTGAGACTGGGTCTGGCTCTCTTGCTCAGGCTGGAGTTCAGTGGTGCCATCATAGCTCACTGCAACCTCGACTTCCTAGGCTAAAGTGATCCTCCTGCCTCAAGCAATCCTCCCACCTCAGCCTCCCCAGTAGCTGGGACTACAGGCGTGCACCACCTTGCCCCGCTAATTTTTACAATTTATTATAGACATGAAGTCTCGCTTTGCTGCCCAGGCTGGTCTTTAATTCCTGTCTTCAAGTGATCCTCCCACCTTGGCCTCCCAAAGTGCTGGGATTACAGGTGTGAGCCACCTCAACTTCCATCTTAAAATTCTGCCTCCTTAGAGTTCTTTGCTTTCTGCTGTGTAGTCAGGGAGGAGTCACATTCACTCAGTCTCCTCTGTCTGGATGCGATACATCATTTCTACTTGCTTTCCAGTGGGCAGGGCCCAGTCACAGGGTCCCAATGCAACAGCCAGGGAGACTGGGAAATGTATGGGGCACATGTATTTGGTGAGCACTAACTGTCACAAGTACCTGGGCGTGACCCCTAAATTCCAGTGCCTGCAGAGCCAGGAAGTATTTTGTTCAGTTCATCTGGACTTGCTCTGTCTCTCAACTGGACTCAAAAGACTGATGAATAAACCAGAATGCAAGTTTATTACTTTACCAAAAGAATTATAATCATCAAGCAGACCAGATTGCTCACATGCTGATTAGCACATTTAGTCCTGCTAGGTAAGTCTTTCTTTTTTTGAGACAGCCTGGAGTGCAGTGGCAGTCATGGCTCACTGAAGTGTTGATCTCCTGGGCTCCAGCAATCCTGCCTCAGCCTCCCAAGTAGCTGGGACCAGAGCCACACACTGCTGCACCCAGCTAAATTTATTTATTTATTTATTTAAAAGATAGGGTCTCACTATGTTGCCCAGACTGGTCTTGAACTCCTGGTTTCTGATGATCCTCCTGCCTCAGCCTCCCAAAGTGTTGAGATTATAGGCATGAGCCACTGTGCCCAGCCCCTTCTAGGTAAATCTCTATGGGGTGCCAAATTTTGGTTAAGAATTGCTTATTGAATATTAAAAGTTTAGTGGGATGCTTCTTTTTTTTTTTTCTTTTGAGATGGAGTTTAGCTCTTGTTGCCCAGACTGGAGTGCAATGGTGTGATCTCAGCTCACCGCAACCTCTGCCTCCTGGGTTCAAGTGATTTTCCTGCCTCAGCCTCCCGAGTAGCTGGGAATACAGGCATGTGCCACCACGCCTGGCTAATTTTGTATTTTTAATCGAAATGGGGTTTCTCCATGTTGGTCAGGCTGTTCTCAAACTCCCAACCTCAGGTAATCCACCCGCCTTGGCCTCCCAAAGTGCTGGGATTATAGGCATGAGCCACCGCGCCAAGCCACAGGATGCTTCTAATAGTGTTATCAAGCTATAATGCAGCCCTCTCTGTAAAATGTTTTAAAAACAAATCACTGAGGGTCATGGTTCAAGACACTGTTCTCTGGCAAGGTTGAAGATAGCTAACAAATTCTCTTTGGGTTCCAGCCATGAATGGGGTGGGATGGGCCCCAGCAATCTGTATGTTTCTGAGATTCCCTGGGAATTCTGATGGCCAAGTTTAGAAACCATCAAAATAAGAATATGATGCAACTGAGTAGGCTCACGCTTTGCTAATTACATTGCACACATGCTTTTTGGAGACAACACCCACACTACCCTAACAATGTGTGTTCATAAAACTCATCCGATACTTATTTGTTCAAGGCCCTAGGACAATATTCCTGTAATGGGCTGCTTTTGCCCTGATTTCCTCCTCAGAGTAACTGTCTCGCGGTTGGGCACGATCCCAGATCACATCTACAGTGGAGGTGGTTTTGCTGGGGAGGATCCGCATGCTTGTTTGTGTTTATGCCTGGGGAACCCCCTCTTGGCAAGATGTTCGGGAGAGGCTCCAAAGGCAGCACAGAGGACGGCTTGGAACTTAGGGGGATTCACTTTATGGTAAAGAAGCCCTTTCTAAAGGAGAGCTCCACCCAGGAAACACCACCCACCCACGCATCCTTGCCTCCTAAAACCAGGTTATGTTTATCACATACCTTCTATGTGCTTTACATAAAGAATCCCCTGGAATTCTCCAAACTGGGCATTGTGGTCTGTGATGCATATCTCAAAAGAGGTGAGAGGGTTGGGCACGGTGGCTCACGCCTGTAATCCCAGCACTTTGGGAAGCCAAGGCAGGTGGATCACTTGAGGTCAGAAGCTCAAGACCAGCCTGGCTCACATGGTGAAACGCCGTCTCAACTAAAAATACAAAAATTAGCCGGGCATGATGGCGGGCGCCTGTAATCCCAGCTACTCGGGAGGCTGAGGCAGGAGAATCGCTTGAACCCAGGAGGTGGAGGTTGCTGTGAGCCAAGATTGCACCACTGCACTCCAGCCTGGGTGACAGAGTGAGACTCTGTCTCAAAAAACAAAAAAAAGAAAAAAAAAGGTAGAGGAGAGTCCTTTTTCTAACTTTCTTGAACTCTTTGGACTACCTTGGGATCCTTCTATTAACTGCCTTGTTGGCATTATTCTCAGTTTATGAAAAAACAGGCCCACAGAGTGGAAGTAATTTGCCTACAGGTACATCTAAAAATTGATGAAGCCAGATAGGAACTGCTCCCTCATCATCTGAAACCCTTCCCAGAGCTGTCTCTCCCACCCCAGAAGTAGAAAGAAGCCAGACAAAGATGCATCTTGATCTCCCTTGTGGTTTCAGCAAGGAAGCAGATGAGTTGGAGATGAAGCCCCCAGCCCCTGGGAAATTGGACCCACTTCTTGCTCCAAAGGCTATTGGGGTGACACAAGGTGTGTTTCTTTCCCGTAGATCATATTCACCATATTTTGCCTTTAAATGGAAATTGTGCATCCTGAAGTACCTTGTTAAGAGTCCATTTTCAACCTGAAATTCCTTTTTTTTGTAAACCACTTCAGCAAATACAGTGTGGCATTTACATTAGCAACCTCCCAGCCTAGGAGAGGATGCTCCAGCATCCGACTCTAAAAGACAAATTTGGGCACGGTGGCTTGACGCCTGTTATCCCAACACCTTGAGAGGCCGAGGCAGGCAGATTGCTTGAGCCCAGGAGTTCAAGACCAGCCCAGGTAACATGGTGAACCCCCATCTCTACCAATAATACAAAAATTAGCCAGGCATGGTGGTGTGCCAGTGGTCCCAGCTACTTGAGTGGCTGAGGTGAAGGATCTCCTGAGCCTGGGAGGCAGAGGTTGCAGTGAGCCGAGATCGAACCACTGCACTCCAGCTTATGCAACAGAGCAAGACCGTGTCTCAAAAACAAATAAAAATAAAAGATTTTAAAAAGACAAATTATCCCACAAATGGTACATTGTGGTGGTGGTGGTGGTGGTGGTGGTAGACCTCCCTCTTGCTCTTGAAATTGGATCAGAACAAACTGACAATGCTACCTACTTCATGGGGTCATTGGTGAATTCACTGATAATGCATGCAAATCCCCTTCTGCCTGGCACACTACCTAATAAATAAATGGTGGTTGTTATTGTTGGAATTGGAGGATATATTCCTAGTTGCAAGGGTTTCACATGTATTACCAAGTTAATCCTCACCGCAGATATGATTCTGTTTTACAGAGGAAGCAGTGGATGCTCAGAGAGGTTAGGTAACGTGGGTCAGGGACACACAGCCAGGAAGGGGCAGAGGCTGGGAGTGCCTGACTCCAAATTCATGCAATTTCTACCCCACCATCTTCTCCCCAAGGAAAATAGTCCCTAATGCATGTGTGCAATGCTTAGAGGGCAGTAGATGCTCAACAGATGCTGAGAGAGTGAGGGAGTAAATGAGATATGCCATGAAAAGGAGCCCCTGTGGACTTATGCGTGCGTTTGTTTAACTTGTGGGCAAGTACTTATAGACAGGTGCAAACAATAAATCTCCTTTTGCAACTGAGAACTTGTTGTTCAGTATGAGTTTTGATACATATAAGAAAGGCTATTATGATACCTAAGACAGTTAACTAAGGGAGGGAGTATTGATAACCATAAGTGTTAGTTGCAGGCTGGGCACAGTGGCTCATGCCTGCAGTCCTCTCACTTTGAGAGGCTGAGGTGGGAGGATTGCTTGAAGCCAGGAGTTCAAGACCAGCCTGGGCAAGAAAGCAACACCCCATCTCCACAAAACTTTAAAAGTTAGCTGGGTGTGGGGGCATGTGCCTATAGATGTAGCTACTCTAAAGGGGAGGCTGAGGCAGGAGGATTGCTTGAGCCCAGGAGTTGGAGACTGCAGTGAGCTTTGATGGCACCACTGTACTCCAGCCTAGTCAACAAAGTAAAACTTGTCTCTTAAAAAAAAAAAAAAAAACAAAAAAAAAGGTTCTAGGACTGTAGAATCATTAGCTTAAAAGCATAGGATTTGAGGGAAAACCTCAGTTATATTAATTTCGTATTCCAATTTCATGTTGACTTGATTTTTTATAAAGATCTTTTTTAAAAAGGAGCCCCTGCTTCATTTGCCAAAGCTTGGAACGTTTGGGGACACCCATGACTGGCTAAACCAAGTTCCACTGGGGCTGGGGCCATGTCTCAAGTCACTTCTGAGACTGGCAAGGGCCTGGCATATTGGGACTGAACCCCAGGTCGATGCTAGGCATTTGCTGTGAATCAAAGAATCCTGAGTTTTTCAGAGTCCAGAAGAATCTGAAAGGTCAACCAAGCCAAGCCCTTTATAACATCCACTCATTCTGGCATTCCTCTCTGGTTCATGGAGCCCCTGCTGTGGGCCAGGCACTGAGGAAAAGAAGAGGCAGTCTATGTCATCCCGGGGATCCTGACAGAAAGCCCTCTGTGAAAGAAAGAAAACTCACCACCTGCTAACAGCAATGGTTTAGACAGGGAGGATTCAAGGCTTATTTTGTTCCTTCTTTTGTCTGTCTTCCAAAATCTCTGCAACAGAATTATGTTACTTTTTTTTCTTTTTTTTGAGATGGAGTCTCGCTCTGTTGCCCAGGCTGGAGTGCAATGGTGTGATCTCGGCTCACTGCAACCTCCGCCTCCCGGGTTCAAGCAATTCTCCTACCTCAGCCTCCCGAGTAGCTGGAATAACAGGCATGCACTACCACACCTGGCTAATTTTTGTATTTTTAGTAGAGATGGGGTTTTGTCATGTTGGCCAGGCTGGTCTCAAACTCCTGACCTCAGGTGATCCACCTGCCTTGGGCTTTCAAAGTGCTGGGATTACAGGTGTGAGCCACCACATCCGGCTTTTTTTTTTTTTTTAGACAGAGTCTCTCTCTGTCACCCAGGCTGTAGTGCAGTAGCCCAATCTTGGCTCACTGCAACCTCTGCCTCCTGAGCTCAAGTGATTCGCCTGCCTTAGCTTCCCGAGTAGCTGGGACTACAGGCACATGCCACCATGCCTGGCTAACTTTTCGTATTTTCAGTAGAGATGGAGTTTCACCATGTTGGCCAGGCTGGTGTCGAACTCCTGACCTCAAGTGATCTGCCCGTGTCGGCCTCAGGATTATGTTACTTTTATAATTTAAAAAATGTGGCTGGACACGGTGGCTCACGCCTGTAATCCCAGCACTTTAGGAGGCCGAGGCGGGTGGATCACGAGGTCAGGAGATCGAGACCATCCTGGCCAACACGGTGAAACCCCCGTCTCTACTAAAAATACAAAAAATTATCTGGGCGTGGTGGCAGGTGCCTGTAGTCCCAGCTACTCGGGAGGCTGAGGCAGGAGAATGGCGTGAACCTGGGAGGCGGAGCTTGCAATGAGCCAAGATCGCGCTGCTGCACTCCAGTCTGGGCAACAGAGCGAGACTCCGTCTCAAACAAAAAACAAAACAAAACAAAAGCTTATAAAAAATGTGGCTGGGCGAGATGGCTCATGCCTATAATCCCAGCACTTTGGGAGGCCGAGGTGGGCGGATCACGAGGTCAGGAGTTCGAGACTAGCCTGGCCAACATGATGAAACCCCGCTTCTATTAAAAATACAAAAATCAGCCAGGTGTGGGGGCAGGCACCTGTAATCCCGGCTACTCAGGAGGCTGAGGCAGGAGAATTGCTTGAACTCAGGAGGTGGAGGTTGCAGTGAGCCGAGATTGTTCCACTGCACTCCAGCCTGGGTGATAGAGCAAGACTCCATCTTGGGAAAAAAAAAAAAAAAGGAAAGATTTAATAAAAGAATTTTTTTTTAAATTGAGCTAAAATTTGCTCTCTAAGCTCCCAGGCCCGTGGCTCTAGAAACTCAGTAGAGCATTTTTGTGGAAGGCTCTTTCCTTCCCTCCCTTTGATGGGGTTGCATTGGTCCCCAGGAACAGAGTACCTTTGGATCGCTGTAGCTCTCGGGTGCCAGGCAGGGGCTTACTGTCTTGGGCTGTCAGCTGCTCTAGGTTGCTTGTGCCCACCCTTCTGAGTGTCTGAGGGTGGCAAGGGAACTGCGTGCTGTGACAATGGAAGTACAGTGCCCAGGGCTGGCTTCAGGGCAGTTGCATAAATTTGCGAAGACCTTGCACTTGGTTTTCATGTTCTGCTGTCACCATCTTGAAATTTCTCATCATTCTTAAACAAGAGCGTGGCCTTTTTGTTTTGCACTGGGTCTAGTAAATTATGTAGCCAGTCCTGGCAGCATTACCATTCGATCAAGGGTTTTGGAGCAAGACAGTCCTAGGTCCCAATTGCAGCTCCTTAATTTACACATTCAGCTACTTGGGACAAGTGACTGAATCTCTCTCCACCTCAGTTTCCCCATTTGGAAAACAGGAATAACCTCCTAGTAGTATTATAAAGACTAGCACTGTTGGTCTTTCCCTCTCGAAGTCCCCTCTCTCTCGCTAGAGAGAGCTGTTTTCCTTTCTCTTTCTTTTGCCTATTAAACCTCCGCTCCCAAACTCTTCATGTGTGTCCATGTCCTAAATTTTCCTGGTGCGAGATGACGAACCCCAGGTATTTACCCCAGACAACATAGCAGCTTCATAATGGGGACCTTGTCCGGATACCAAGGTACAACTTTCATCAAAACGGTGAGTAGAGGAGCAGACTCCACCTCTGACCTTTCATCTCAGGGCTCTCAGCCTCCATTTTAGAACCAAGTCAAATCAATAATGGGTATCCATCAGCCAGTTAAAAACACGGTTAGTGTGGCTGCCATTCTTAAAGACTCGGACGTCAGTCTTACTGGGGAGAACATGGAGAATCCTCCAGCACCCGTGGTTTGCTGGACATGTTTGAACCAGCATCCTTTCATGGAGAACTTAGCCGTCACGTGGGGCTGGGAGAGGTTTTGGAGCAACTGAGGATTTCTGGCTGGGGCTACCCCAGGTGTTATCCAAAGGCTTCTAGACTGACCCAGGCCTCCAACTGCCCAACGGGGTTTTGGCAGCAGGATCTCCAACTTTGCGTTTTGTTTGTTTGAGACAGAATTGCTTGAACCCGGGAGGTGGAGGCTGCAGTGAGCTGAGATCACGCCTCTGCACTCCAGCCCGGGCGACAGAGCAAGGATCTCCTATCCTCTCTGTGTATGCAATGTGCGGGAAGTTTACAGTTCAGGGAAGTAATCTTGTTCGCTATGTAAATCAGACACCGCCTCCTCAAACCTGACTATAAAATCCAGTGCATCCTCCGCTGGTGGCTCTTTTCCTCTTAGAAGTCTCCCCTCTCTCACTAGAGAGACAGAGCAGTTTTCCTTTCTCTTTCTTTTTCTTTTGCCTATTAAACCTTCGCTCCTTAAAAAAAACAGGGTAGCACTGTGTAATTAACACAAAGTAAATGCCCCTGAATCTTTATATTCTTTGTTTATAGAAAGTATTTAGCATAAGTAGCACAAAGTAATCCCTCAATGAGTAGTTGCTATAATCGTGGGGAAGACAGGCCGGCCCCCACAGGCCAGGCCTTGCTGACAGGTGGTTTCTCGTCCTACCTGGCAACTCCCTTAGCATCTCCTGGAAGAGCCAATGGATGCAAACCTGAGCTCATTGAAGGAGGCGCTCAGCTAGGATTTGCACTATGTCCTCCCACTCCCCTGCCACTGACCCCAAGAGGACATGAGGTCTGCCTCTCTCCAGACAACAAACACCATTTGTCCTCGACCTGGACCTGACCAGTCTTTCCCAACAGGCCTTCAGGGAGGGGAAAGGCATGGGCGGCCTGTGCGCGTGGGCTTGTCCCTGCTGTGATCCAAGTTACATCCTGTTCTGGCGTTGCTATGGCACAGCCAAAAACATCTGCCACAACAGACAGCTGGGACTGGCGGTTGGCAGCAGGGCTTGGATGGGCTGGGCTGGAAAGCGTGCAAGACTGAGCAAGGCCAGGAGCTGGGCAGTGATCTGGGACAATGCCCCGATACCACCAAACACACGCATACACACACACACACATGTGCATACACACATACACGTGTGCATACATATACACACATATACACACATGCACGTGCGCATACACACACACATGCACACACACACGTGCGCATACACACACGCATGCATACACATGCATACACACATGCACGTGCGCATACACATACACAGATACACACATGCACGTGCGCATACACATACACAGATACACACAGACATGCACGTGCGCATACACACACGTACACATACACACACATGCACATGTGCATACACATACACACATGCACATACATGCATACACACATAGGCACGTGCACATAAACATACACACACATACACATGCACGTGCGCATACGCATACACACACGCATACATGCACGCATACATACACACATGCATACACACACACACACACACACACACATGCTCTATTTAGGAGGCAAGTTGGACTTCTAGGACAAGAGTTCCTAATTCTTCCTAGGAAAGGTTTCTAATTCTGCCTTTTTTTCCTGAAGTTCCTGAGAGAAGACCTCAAGTGCATAGCCCTAGAGGGACTGGGCCCTCTGAAATTCTTGCCCTCATCTAGGTCCCAGCCAGGCCCACAGAATCGCCCAAGGCCCTATCCTGCTCCCAAAATGGAATTCGCTTTCCCTGTTGTTGTTATTGCTGGTGTTTTTCCTGATTAGTAAAACACAGTGATTGTAACAAAATCACATGATGCAGAGGAGTGATAACAGCTGTGCTTATGTGGCATGAGCCAGCTGCTGTGCCACATACCTCTCATTAACAAAATATACGTAGAAAGTGTTTAGAACAGCCCCTGGCCCTGGTAAGTGCTCTACACCATACCCGTAATCCCAGCACTTTGGGAGGTCGGGCAGGTGGATTGCTCGAGCTCACAAGTTCGTGACCGGTCTGGGCAACATGGTGAAACCCTGTCTCTACAAAAAATACAAAAATTAGCCAGGTGCGGTGGTGAGCACCTGTAGTCCTAGCTACTCAGGAGGCTCAGGTGGGAGGATCACTTGGGCCCAGGACATTGAGGCCACAATGAGCCATGATTGTGCCACTGCACTCCAGCCTGGGTGATACAGTGAGAGACCCTGTCTCAATCAATCAATCAATTAATCAATAAAGTAATTGTCAGGATGATCTGATTTTCTATGACAAGTTAGTGATACAGGTATTAATAACACAATATCTAAAAGAGGAAGTGAGGCTTGGAGAGGTGACATCACCTGCCTAAGTTCACATGATGAGTGTCCTACCTGGATTTGAACTCAGGTTACACCAATGCTAAAGCTCTAAGCTCAGAATCTCCCCCCTCCCCCACCCTTTATGCAGCTGTCCTTAGTTCTTGAACACCTGTTGCTCCTTTCTCTCCCCCAGCCACAGCCCTGACCTCATTCCTGCTGAAGGCCCCAGGGGCCTGGCTGAGGTCACAGTTTTGGCCACAGATCCACAGAGGCGACACCCTGTCTGAAGCCACTGCGGATTCTTTTCACTAGTTTGTCCTGTACTCCTGGGCTCTGAGGGTCTTGGGAACTCTCTACCTGTCCTCTCCCAAAGCATGGACTTTGGGATATCACCCCTCTTCTCTCCCTGCCCACTTTCTGTGCCCTGTGGTAGGGGCTCGCTGGGATTATAACAGTAATCATGAATGACAGAATTTTTTCTTTTTTTTTTGAGATGGAGTCTTGCTCTGTCGCCCACGGTGGAGTGCAGTGGTGCAATCTTTGCTCACTGCAACCTCCGCCTCCCGGGTTCAAGCAATTCTCCTGCCTCAGCCTCCTGAATAGCTGGGACTACAGACACGTGCCACCACACCCGGCTAATTTTTGTATTTTTAATAGAGACAGAGTTTCACCATATTGGTCAGGCTGGTCTTGAACTCTTCACCTCGTGATCCACCTGCCTCAACCTCCCAAAGTGCTGGGATTACAGGCGTGAGCCACTGTGCCCAGCCATTTCCTTTTTTAACAGACGGTTTTGCTCTGTCACCCAGGCTGGAGTGCAGTGGCACGATCACAGCTTACTGCAGCCTTGAACTCCTGGGCTCAAGCGATCCTCCCTCCTCAGCCTCCTGAGTAACTAGAACCACAGGCATGTGCCACCACACACAGCTCATTTTTAGTATTATTATTTATAGAGATGAGGGTCCCCTATGTTGCCCAGGCTGGTCTTGAGCTTCTGGGCTCAAGTGATCCATCTGCCTTGGCCTCCCAAAGTGGTAGGATTTACAGATGTGAGCCACTGCACCGGGCATGGATGACATTTCTTGAGCCACACTGGACCAAGTGAGCCTTATTATTACTAATTTTCAGATGAAAAAACTCAGAAGTTAAATGTCTTACCTAGATGGCCCAGACAGAATTCCAGAGCTGCCTCTTCCAGGAAGCTATTCCTGACAGCCCCTCCCCTAAATGCTGAAGAGATAACTATTTAGTATGAGCACCCCATGGATATGCCCAGGACTGTGAGCTCCCTGAGGGCAGGGGCTGGGTCAGGTTGATTGCTGTCTGCCCTATACCTGATATAATAAGTGCTCAATAAATACTTGTTGAATGACTGACTGACTGACTGAACGAATGATAGGGCTGATCTCTTTTCTCCTCTTGGGTCCTGAGAAGTTTGGGGAATCAGGCAAGTCTGAGTTTGAATCTTTGCTCTGCCACTTCCTGGCTGTGTAGTCTTGGCCCAGTTACCTAACCTCTCTGAGCCTCTGTTTCCCTCTCTGCAAAATAGGGGTACAGTCTGTGGGAGGGTTGGAGAGGACCTACAATGACTGGCACATAGTAGGTACTCTATGAACAGCCCTGTAGAGAGACAGTTCAGGTCCTCCCTGGAGTCAGCCTGTCTGGGGTTCAAACCTCAGCTCCAACACTGACCGAGTAGTATGACCTCGGACAAATCACTTTTCCTCTCTGGACCTCGTCTTCCAAATACTTCACTTGGGGATAATATTAGCACCAATTACTTGGCTGTAGTAAGAACTAAAGGAGGCAGTCCGCATAGTAAATCCTCCATCAACACGGGCTTCTGTGACTTAGGGTGAGCTCCTGGAGGACAGACAGGTGTCCCGTTTTTTCCACCCCACCCCAGAACCTTGCTCAGTGCCAAGCACATAGTAGGGGCACAGATTGCTGAAGGAACTGAGTCTCCATTTCTGTGGCTATTGGGTGCAGACCCGGAGAGCCAGGGCAGGTTTCCAGAATGCCCTCCCCCAACAGGCCGACTCTCCCGTGTTTGTCCATCTCATCTCCCAGCTAGCTGGAGGCAGAGCAGCAGCCCAGCCCTGGCCTTCTGTGCCCAGCCTGGTGGGGGCCAGCGGCAGCTGCTCCTCCAGGGGAGCGCCTCCTGATGGAGGCTGGAAGGAAGGGAGGGCTGGGGAGGTGGAAGCCCCTCCAAAGTTAGCCCAAGGCCCCCAGGGGAACATGCCCAGCCCTGGCCTTCTGTGCCCAGCCTGGTGGGGGCCAGCGGCAGCTGCTCCTCCAGGGGAGCGCCTCCCGATGGAGGTTGGAAGGAAGGGAGGGCTGGGGAGGTGGAAGCCCCTCCAAAGTTAGCCCAAGGCCCCCAGGGGAACATGCTACTCAGAAAGGAGAGCTGGGGTTCAAGTCTACCAACCCTACTTATAGCTGTATGACCGTAGACGCCTCGCTCCACCTCTTTGAGCCTTGCTTCCTGTACCGTGGGGCTGGTGGCCTCATAAGGTTGTTAGGAAGCAGGTGAAGCATGAAGCATACAGTAAGTGCTCCATAAATGTACCGGTCATTGCTGCCCCTCTGACTTGTTGCAGTATAGCACCTGTCTTCTACAGATGGGGAAACTGAGGCCCAGAGAGAGGCAGTTACTTGTCCAAGGTCACAGAGCCTGTCTCTTGCTGGTTCCAGCTTCGGCCTTAGCCATTCTCCCTGCTCAACCCAAAGCTCAGCAGGGATGGGCTCCTGGGTGGACCAGGCAGGGGGTTCCCTTGGGCTGAGGGGGCAGGAAGGTAGGGGTGGAGGAAGGGTTCAACAAAAACAGCCCCAGCTGGGGGCTGTGGCTCACGCCTGTAATCCCAGCACTTTGGGAGGCCGAGGCAGGCGGATCACTTGAGGTCAGGAGTTTGAGACCAGCCTGGCCAACATGGTGAAACCCCCTCTCTACTAGAAATCCAAAAAATGTCCGGGCATGCAGCACACCTATAATTCCAGCTACTCAGGAAGCTGAGGCAGGAGAATCACTTGAACTTGGGAGGCAGAGACTGCAGTGAGCCGAGATCACGCCGCTGCACAGCTCCACTGCACTCCAACCTGGGTGACAGAGTGAGACCCTGTTTCAAAACAAAACAAAACAAAACCAGAAACAGCCCCTTTGCTGCAGGCCTCCGGGATGCCAAACACTTTGGTTGTTTTCTTATTAATCCTGAAAACACTATTAAAATGGTATTATTCTTAGCATTCCCATTTTACAGATGAGAAAACTGAGGTTCAGAGAGTTGCCTAAGCACACAATGGGAAGAGGGAGGCTCTTGACCCCAGCCCCAGATCTGTCTGTTGAATGAAGGAAGAGATAGTGTCCCATTCAGGGGTGCACAGCGAGCTCTGTGGTTTGGTGAGTTCAGTCTGTCTCCCCGACCCCCAGATGACAGGTGAGAGGAGGACACAATGCCAGCAGCTCTTGGGCTTGGGATGTCATAGAAACTTCCAAAGAAAGGGGAAGAGAAAGCCCAGTCACCCTCGCCCCACCCCCACAGGTCGCAGAAGCGGCTCAGGGATGGCAAATGGGCGTGGAGGTGGCCTCCGCAGCCCCAGGGGGCAGGGCAGGGACGCTCTGTGCCAGATGGGGGTGCCAGGCGCTGCCTCCAGCGACCACGCCCACAAGGTGCTCTGCTGCCTGCCGGACCTCTGCGCAAGTGCCTTCGGGCCGATGCAGACGCCCACTGCGCCACTTCCCCCGGGCTCCGGGGACCCCCTCCATCCGCCCGGCCTAGCCCTGGAGGCGCGACGCCCCGTCGTGTACCGTCTGGAGGAGGTGGCGCGCTGCCTGCACCTCCTGGAGCTCTCCAGCTCCGAGGGTCCCCGCTGCAGGCCCGGAGTGTCTGCCGGCCTCCAGGTGCACAGGCTCCAGAGCGCCCCGCAGGGGACTCCGGGAGGCGCCTCTGCCTCCGATTCCCCTAGAGGGGACCGGCCAGTCCCAAGGTCCAACAGGAAGAAGGCAGAAAACCCCATCCGAAAAGGTGAGCGCCTTTCGGGGGCTTTCTTCCCTCCATTGGACCCACAGATTCTAGGCACAGTTATCCCGGGGGGCATCCGTGGGTCTGCATTCTCAGTATTGCTGTCCACTTGCCCTGTGGTTTCTGACAAACTCCTGGCCCTCTCTGACCCTCAGTTTCTTTATCTCTGCCACCAGAGATAAAGAGATTGGACTTTGGTTTTTCACTCTTAAAACTGAAGACAAGACCTCATTTCTGTGGGAGGAGGGCTCCACCTGTGGGATTATAAGGACAGCATCTGGGCCATACAAATCTTTTCCCTTTCCCTAAAAAAACTAGCTACGGAGCTACTTCTAGGGTTACAATATCTAACTCTTACAAGAATCCTCCCCGGGAAATGCTGTTACTCCATTTTATTGAAATGAAAACTGAGGCCGGGCACGATGGCTCACGCCTGTAATCCCAGCACTTTGGGAGGCCGAGGTGGGCGGATCACTTGAGGTTGGGAGTTTGTGATCAGCCTGGCCAACATGGTAAAACCCCGTCTCTACTAAAAATACAAACATTAGCCAGGCGTGGTGGAAGGCACCTGTAATTCCAGCTACTCTGCAGGCTGAGGCAGGAGAATCGCGTGAACCCAGGAGGTGGAAGTTGCAGTGAGCCGAGATCGTGCCATTGCACTCCAGCCTGGGAGACAGAACAAGACTCTTGTCTCAAAAACAACAACAACAACAACAAAAAACTGAGCTTATAGTGAGTGGGTTCAAGTTGCAGAAATGGGATTTGAACCTCCACCCTCCTTCCAGGCCTGTCTGACTTTAAAGCCCCGTGCTTTTTTCTGCTAATAATGCAGATCGTCTCCATGAAAGCCACACAGGCTGGATTCTCAGCAGGAATGGCCAGGGGTCCTACCTCTTGTCGGTGCCACCCATCAGCTCTCTGAGGCCACTGCCCTGAAGGATCTTCGGCGATCCCTGGGGAACACCTCTCAGCTGATGTGGACAGGGCATCACTGGTATAGCCTCATGCCATGACCCAAAGCTTCCAAATGGAACGGAGGAGGGCCCCCATCACAGAAGTCCAACAGGGACCCCTGGATTGGGCGTGAAAGAGTGAGAAGAAATGGGGGTTGTGTGGGGAATTGGGTGTGGGAGTGTTCCTACCAGACTAAAGAACTGATGGGCGAGGCCAGGTGCGGTGGCTCATGCCTGTAATCCCAGCACTTTGGGAGGCAGAGGTGGGCGGATCACAAGGTCAAGAGATGGAGACCATCCTGGCCACAATGTGAAACCCATCTCTACTAAAAATAGGAAAAAAAAAAATTAGCTGGGCGTGGTGGTGCAAGCCTGTAGTCCTAGCTACTTGGGAGGCTGAGGCAGGAGAATCACTTGGACCCGGGAGGCAGAGGTTGCAGTGAGCCGAGATCACACCACTGCACTCTAGCCTGGTGACAGAGCAAGACTCCATCTCAAAAAAAAAAAAAAAAAAAAGAAGAACTGGTGGGCCAGGTGTGGTGGCTCACCTCACACCTGTATCCCAGCACTTTGGGAGGCCGAGGCAGGCGGATCACTTGAGGTTCAGGAGTTCGAGACCAGCCTGGCCAACATGGGGAAACCCCATCTCTACTAAAAGTACAAAAATTAGCCAGGCGTGGTGGCAGGTGTCTGTAATCCCAGCTACTCGTGAGGCTGAGGCATGAGAATTGCTTGAACCCAGGAGGTGGAGGTTGCAGTGAGCTGAGATCGCGCCACTGCACTCTAGCCTGGGAGACAGAGTGAGACTCAGTCTCAAAAAACAAAAAAAGAACTGGTGCAAAGGCCCGGAGGTAGAGGTGAGCGCCCTGGCTTCCACAAACTCTAAGCAACCAGTGTCACAGGTGGAGAGCCAGCTGGGGCAGTGGGCGGGACGCAGACCATGCCAGGCCTTGTAGGTCATTGGACTTGACCCTGAGGGCTCTGGGGAGCCAAGGAGGGGCTGCAAACTGCAAAGGATGTGGTCAGCTTTTCCCTCTAGAGCTGCACTGTCCCATGTGGCAGCCGCTAGTTAAATAAATTTAAATAAAACTAAAATAATTTAAATAAATTAAATATTAAAACAGTTAATTAAATAAATTAATTTAAATAAAACTAAATGAGAAATTCTGTTCCCTTGTCACACGTGCCCTGTTTTAAGTGCTCAATGGCTACTTGTGGCTACCCTATTGGACAGCACAGATAGAGAACATTTCCAGCATTGCAGAAAGTTCTGTAGACAGCACAGTGCTAGCGTTCACGCAGGGTTCTGGGTGGGAAGTGTTTTGTGGAGGAGACCAGTAAGGATGGGTTCTAAGGATTCAGGGAGAGATGTACGTGCCCAGTGCCTTGCATGGTCCCTAGAACAC
Source organism: Homo sapiens (assembly GCF_000001405.40). NCBI lineage: Eukaryota > Metazoa > Chordata > Mammalia > Primates > Hominidae > Homo > Homo sapiens. The sequence goes on along the minus strand of NC_000012.12, from coordinate 108,766,207 downwards.
AGTAGGTGCACAATGAAAGGCCACTGAATGGATGAATGGCCTGGATCAGAGTGGGATGGTGGGATGGAGGTGAGAGGATGATGGCAAGAGAACTTCAGAAGGCTAAATTTGTTGTTGTTGTTGTTGTTTGTTTTTTGGGACGGAGTCTTGCTCTGTTGCCAGGCTGGAGTGCAGTGGCGCGATCTCAGCTCACTGCAACCTCTGCCTCCCGGGTTTAAGCGATTCTCCTGCCTCAGCCTCCCGAGTAGCTGGGACTACAGGCATGCACCACCACGCACAGCTAATTTTTGTATTTTTAGTAGAGATGAGGTTTCACCATGTTGGCCAGGATGGTCTCGATCTCTTGACCTCGTGATCCGCCCACCTCGGCCTCCCAAAGTGCTGGGATTACAGGCATGAGCCACCACACCCAGCCTAAATTGATGGGCCTTGGTGACTGGTGAAGGATGAGGGAAGCACCTCGGTCTGGCTTGGGCAGCTGAGTGGACAGTGGGGTGTTTCCTGAAATGGGAACCCAGGAGGGAAGTCAGGTGTCAGGACGGGGATAAGCTCCACCTGAGGGGCCTGTGGAACTGCCACATGGAGATGGCCACTGGCTGCTCGGCCCTGGAGGTGTGGGCCCAGCAGATTTGGGAATGCATGGGCCTGCCCAGGAGAGAATGAAACGGCAAGAAGAAGGGGCGGGGGAGGGCCCTGGGGACACGAACATTGGAGAGGTGGCCAGAGGGAGAAAGAGTGAAGGCAGCAGAGAGCAGTGCCGTGTCAGGGTCACCAGGCAGGCCTGCAAACCCGGACTAGGAGGCCCTGGATCCGGCCCTAGGAATTTGTCCTTGGAAAGAGAAGATTCAGGGTGGGGAGAGAGAAAGAGCCAAAGCAGAAGCGAGGAGGGGGAGGCAGCAAGTGGGCTACAACTCTCAAAAAGTTTGTTGGTGAAGGGGTTAAGACTGGTATTGAAGGTTGATGCAAGGTTATGGGAGATAATTTTTCCCTTGAGATGGAAAAGATTTGACCTTGTTCCCAGGTTAACAGAAAATGTGTGTGTGTCGGGGGTGTTGCCTAAGGGAAAGATCAGCTCATAAATGGTATTTGTAACATGCTTGTAGGCTGAGGTGGCTCACACCTGTAATCTCAGCACTTTGGGAGGCCATGGTGGGAGGATCACTTGAGTCCAGGAATTCGAGACCAGCCTGAGCAACAGGGTGAAACCACTTCTCTACAAAAAATACAAAAGTGTCATGGCACACACCTGCAGTCCCAGCTACTCAGGAGGCTGAGGCAGGAGGATCACTTGAACCCAGAAGGTCCAGGCAGCAGTGAGCCATGATCGTGCCACTACACTCCAGCCTGGGCAACAGAGTGAGACTCTGTCTCAAAAAGAAAAAAAAAACGACCAACCAACCAACCAACAAAAACCCAGCATGCTTGAGAGTGTGCACCAGTTCGTACAGTGATCTTCTGAATATTCCAGTGAGATAGATCTTCTTATTTATCCCCATTTCAGAGATGAAGAAACTGAGGCCCAGCGTGGCTCAGCAGTTTCCCCATAGTCACACTGGGCAGCTTTTCATAATGTGCACAAAGACTTCATCCAGGCCAGCAGGGTCTGGTTTTGAATCTGGTTCCTTAGGCTCTGCTCCCGGATTAGTCCCCATGCTTTTCCTCCTTTCTATTTTGCTATTGTTGTTGTTTTGTTTTTTTGTTGTTTTTAGACAGACTCTTGCTCTGTCACCCAGGCTGCAGTGCAGTGGTGAGATCTCTGCTCACTGCAACCTCTGCCTTCCGGGCTCAAGTGATTCTCCTACCTCAGCCTCTCGAGTAGCTGGGATTACAGGTATTTGCCACCATGCCTGGCAAATTTTTTTTGTATTTTTAATAGAGACAGGGGTTTTGCCATGTTGGCCAGGCTGGCCTAGAACCCCTGACCTCGAGTGATCCGCCCACCTTGACCTCCCAAAGTGCTGGGATTACAGGTGTGAGCCACCATGCCTGGCTTTTTCCGCCTTTCTGGATAAACAAACCACAAAGTGACTAGGTGCAGTGGCTCATGCCTGTAATCCCAGCACTTTAGGAGGCTGAGGCGGGTGGATCACTCGAGGTCCGGGGTTTGAGATCAGCCTGGCCAGCACGGTGAAACCCCATCTCTACCAAAAATACAAAAATCAGCCGGGTGTGGTGGCACACGCCTGTAATCCCAGCTACTCGGGAGGCTGAGACAGGGGAATTGCTTGAACCCAGGAGGCGGAGGTTGCAGTGAGCCGAGATCGTGCCACTGTACTCCAGCCTGGGCGACAGAGCAAGACTCCATGTCAAAAACAACAACAACAACAAAAACAAAAACAAAACAAAATGAAAACAAAAACAAAACCACGAAGTGATAAAAAAGAAGCACCAAAATTCCCAAGTGGAAATAATTTAGCCAGAGAGCATGAGCAAGGGAAGCCGCTCACAGTACTGCGGTATTTTCAGATTTACAACGTTTACATCCTGCCATCATCTCCTTCCCCAATAAGATGTCTTCTGAATTTGCAATAATATAATAATTATGGCAACTATTTTTAATGCTCTTATTAGGTTATATACCTTGCTAAGCATTTTTTTTTTTTTTTTTGAGGTGGAGTCTCGCTCTGTCACCCAGGCCGGAGTGCAGTGGCGCAATCTTGGCTCACTGCAAGCTCCGCCTCCCGGGTTCAAGCCATTCTCCTGCCTCAGCCTCCCGAGTAGTTGGGACTACAGGCACCCGCCACCAAGCCTGGCTAATTTTTTGTGTTTTTAGTAGAGATGGGGTTTCACCATGTTAGCCAGGATGGTCTCGATTTCCTGACCTCATGATCCTCCCATCTCGGCCTCCCAAAGTGCTGGGATTACAGGCGTGAGCCACTGCGCCCAGCATACCTTGCTAAGCATTTAAATGATATCTAATTAACTCTCGCAGCAACCATGAGAGGTAGGCCATATTACTCTTTCCTTTTTAAGTTAGCAAATGGGGGCACAGAGAGGTGAAGTGACTTGCCCAGGGCCACACAGTACATCTTTGGCAGAGATGGAAGTCAAAGCAGGGTCTGTTTGTCACCACAGCTTGTGCCCATCTGTCAAACTACTTTATTAGTGTTAAAATCATAGCAGAAAGTCTTGTTATTCTGTCACATCCGGCTTGCTGACTGAGGTGGGGGGAAAGTTAGCATCCCATTCTATCAGCTGATCAGCCTGTTCTTCCTTAGGGATATAATTGTCCTAAACCCCAGAAAAAGATGCCATTGGGTCTGCAGGGACTGCAGCAGTCTGGCCGGAAGAAACCTGTATTTTCAGCTGGCTGCAATGGCTCACGCCTATAATCCCAGCACTTTGGGAGGCCAAGGCAGGCAGATCACTGGAGGTCAGGAGTTTGAGACCAGCCTGACCAACATGGTGAAACCTTGTCTCTACTAAAAATACAAAACTTAGCCAGGCGTGGTGGCAGGCACCTGTAATCCCAGGTACTCGGGAGGCTGAGGCACGAGAATCACTTGAACCTGGGAGGTAGAGGTTGCAGTGAGCCGAGATCCTACCACTGCATTCTAGCCTGGGCAGCAGAGTGAGACTCCATCTAAGAAAGAAAGGAAAGAAAGAAAGAAAAAAGAAAGAGAAAGAGAAAGAAAAGAAGGAAGGAAAGACAAACCTGTATTTTCATCTGCAAAAAGCTTTTTGAAACTTAGGAGCCTTAGGGAAACAGGGACAGATGGAGCCATATATTTCTTCCAGAAATGGTCTCCTTTTCTTTGCAATCCCTGGATAATGAATGTGCTGAGGTCAAGAAAAATGGCTGGTGATTTCCCACTGAACTGGGGGAGGGGAATAAGGAAGAGGATGAACACCTGTTTCTCATCAACAGGAGAAGGGGTAGCCCATGGCTCGCCCTTCCTTCCTTCCTTCCCTCCCTCCCTCCCTCCCTCTCTTCCTCTCTTCCTTCCTTCCTTCCCTCCTTCCATCTCACTCTGTCACCTTGGCTGGAGTGCAGTGGCACGATCTCAGCTCACTGCAACCTCTGCCTCCCAGGTTCAAGCAATTCTCCTGCCTCAGCCTCCTCCTGAGTAGCTGGGATTACAGGCACCTGCCACCATGCCCGGCTAATTTTTGTATTTTTAGTAGAGACGGGCTTCACCACGTTGGCCAGGATGGTCTCGATCTCCTGACCTCGTGATCCACCTGCCTGAGGCTTCCAAAGTGCTGGGATTACAGGCGTGAGCCACCGTGCCTGGCCTCCCATGGTCTTTCCTTGTCTGGAGTGCTCAGTGTCCTAATCGGTGTAGGTGACAGAGAGGATTAGAGAGGTGGATGAGAGTCAATCCCTGGCATCTAGCTGGACAGGCTATTGCTTAGGATCAAACCCCATTGGTGGCTGCTAGGCCTCTGATTTGAAAAGACACAGTTTGGTTAAAGGGATGTTTTAGTCATGTGGTAGTGGGTATTCAGAAGCTAAAGTGCCCAGCTTCCATTTTCTTTCTTTTTTTTTTTTTTTTTTGAGATGAAGTCTTTCTTTGTCACCCAGGCTGGAATGCAGTGGTGTGATCTTGGCTCACTGCAACCTCCGCCTCCTGGGTTCAAGCAATTCTCCTGCCTCAGCCTCCTGAGTAGCTGGGATTACAGACACGCGCCACCATGTCCAGCTAATTTTTGCATTTTTAGTAGAAACGGGGCTTTACCATGTTGGTCAGGCTGATTTTGAACTCCTGATATCAAGTGATCACCCACCTCAGCCTCCCGAAGTGCTGGGATTACAGGCTTGGGCCACCGCGCCCGGCCCCCCAGATTCCATTCTCTAGGGGGTTAAGGAGAACGCAACTGTGGCAGAATAGATTTTAAGAACCTACTTCTTTCCTTCCTGCATTTGGTCCCACACTGGGACTCCGTGAGCCTCAGTTTTCTACATATACCACTCAATCGCATGCCCAGCCACAGAAATAATCGTTGCTCAAAGTGTGGTGGTGTCTTCCCAGTCCTTTATCTGGACATCTGCATGGATATATCCTTTATTCCATTGCATGGCTGTGCTGGAGTTAACTCAGCCAATCTCATATAGATGTCTCAAATTTCTTACTATTAGAAATAATGCTGTAATGAACATCTTTGTGCCTAAAACGTTGGTAATACCTGCTGTTCATCCTTAGGCCGGATTCTCAGAACTGGCAATGTACCTCCAAGATGGCCCCAACAACCCATGTCTTCTTGTACTCATGCCTGCTATGCACCAAATGCTTGTGTGTCTTCTCATTGAAGCCCTAACCCCTAATGTGGTGGATTTGGAGGTAATTGGGTTTGAGGAGGTCATAAGGATAGAGTCCCCATGATGGAATTAGTTTCCTTGTAAGAGGCTGAAGAGGCCAGAGCTCACTCTCTCCACCATGTGAGGACAAAATGAGAAGGCGGCCATCTGTACACCAGGAAGAGGTCCCTCACCAGAACCCAACCATGCTGGCACCTTGATCTCAAACTTCCATGTTCCAAAGCTGGGAGCAATAAATTCCTGTTGTTTAAGCCATTCAGCCTGCAATATTCTGTTATGGCAGCTACAAATGACTAAGACACTGCCCCCGTGCAGTCGCCTTCCACCCTGAACCAGGCTAGCCCAAGTAGACAATAGAATATGGCAGAAGCGGCCAGGCACAGTGGCTTACGCCTGTAATCCCAACACTTTGGGAGGCTGACTTGGGCAGATCACCTGAGGTCGGGAGTTCCAGACCAGCCTGACCAACATGGAGAAACCCCATCTCTACTAAAAATACAAAATTAGCCGGGTGTGGTGGCACGTGCCTGTAATCCCAGCTACTCAGGAGGCTGAGGCAGGGGAATCGCTTGAACCTGGGAGGTGCAGGTTGCGGTGAGCCGAGATCGTGCCATCGCACTCCAGCGTGGGCAACAAGAGCGAAACTCCGTCTCAAAAAAAAAAAAAAGAAAAAAAAAGAATATAGCAGAAGTGACCCCGTGTGACTTTCAAGGCTGGGTCATTAAAGGCATTGCAGCTTCTCCCTTGAGTTTCTTGAATCGCTCAATCTGTGAGAAGCCAGCTGCCGTGCTGAGGACACCCCAACAGCCTGTGGAGACGCCCACCTGACAAGGAGCTGAGGCTTCCTGCCAACAGCCAGCACCGGTTTGTCAGCCATGTGGGTGAAACGCCTTGGAAGTGGATGTGAGATCTCAGTCAAGCCTTCATCCGATTGCAGACTCACGAGAGACCTCCAACCAGAGCCACACAGCCAGGCTGCTCCCAAATTCCTAACCCACAGGAGATAAGAGGTAATCAATGACTTTGGTGTTTTAGGCCAATATGTTCTGAGTGATTTGTCCCATAGCAGTGGAGCTAATAATACTAGATCAAAGACCAGAGGATTCTTAAGATTCATGATCTAGAATTCCATTTTTTCTTCCCTTTTCTTTTATTTTCCTTTTTTTATTTTTAGATAGAATCTCGCTGTGGTTGCCCAGGCTGGAGTGCAGTGGTACGATCTCGGCTCACTGCAGCCTCTAACTCCCGGACTCAGATGATTCTCCCATGTTAACCTCCTGAGTAGCTGGGACTACAGTCATGTACCATCATGCCCGGCTAGTTTTTTGTATTTTTAGTAGAGACGGGGTTTCACCATGTCGCCCAGGCTGGTCTCGAACTCCTGGACTGAAGCAATCTGTCCGCCTCGACCTCCCAATGTGCTGGGATTACAAGTGTGAGCCACCACGCCCAGCCACTTCTCTTTTCATATCACCAGATTGTCAGTTATTTTTTTGTTTTCTCCTTTTGTGTTGTTATTGTTGTATTTGAGCAGGGTCTTGCTCTGTCACCCGTGGTGGAGTGCAGTGGCGTGATCATGGCTCACTGCAGCCTCAACCTCATGGGCTCAAGTGATCCTCCCATCTTGGCCTCCCAAAGTATTAGGCTTACAGGCTTGAGCTGCTGCACCTGGCAAGATTGTCAGTTCTTATTCTGACATGTAATTGGCCTGCATGATCTAAGGTGATCTCCTCATAGGAGTTCCTGTCAGCTCTGGGGATGTGGGATGTGTTTTCAAAGCCCCAAGTGTGACCAACAGCCCTTTCCTCGCTATTCCCATAGAAAGATTTGTTTTTTATTTGTGGCTGTGAACCTTCCAGGGCAGGATGTTCACAGTTTGTTACTTGTGCCCAGCTAAACCATGTAATAGCCAAAGCCGGGCAGCAGAGAAAGCTCAGCCTGTTATAAGTTAATTGCTCTTTGCTTTTTCTGGATCCTCAAAAGCTTTTAAAGGAGTGTAAGCAAAAACAGCTGGCTTGGGCCGGGGTGGTGGCTCATGCTTGCAATCCAGGCACTTTGGGAGGTTGAGGTGGGAGGATCGCTTGAGCCCAGGAATTTGAGACCATCCTGGGCAACATAGCAAGACCCCATCTCTGGAAACAAAACAAAACAAAAAAAAACAGCTGGCTTATTAAATAATACTTCGGCTGAGCATGGTGGCTCACACTTGTAATCCCAGCACTTTTGGGAGGCTGAGGCAGGCAGATCACCTGAGTTCAGGAGTTCAAGACCAGCCTTGCCAACATGGTGAAATCCTGTCTCTACTAAAAATACATAAATTAAGGCCGGGCACAGTGGCTCTCACGCCTGTAATCCCAACACTTTGGGAGGCCGAGGCGGGCAGATCATGAGGTCAGGAGTTCGAGACCAGCCTGACCAACACGGTGAAACCCCGTCTCTACTAAAAATACAAAAATTAGCCAGGCATGGTGGTGCACACCTGTAATCCCAGCTACTCAGGAGGCTGAGGCAGGAGAATCGCTTGAACCCAGGAGGCAGAGGTTGCAGTAAACTGAGATCGCACCACTGCACTCCAGCCTGGGCAACAGAGTGAGACTCCATCTCAAAAAAAAAAAAAAAAAAATTAGCTGGGCGTGGTGGTGTTCGACTGTAATCCCAGCTATTAGGGAGGCTGAGGTGGGAGAATTTCTTGAACCTGGGAGGCAGAGGCTGCAGTGAACCAAGATTGCGCTATTGGACTCCAGCCTGGGCAACAAAGTGAGACTGCATTTCAAAAAAAAAAAAAAAAAAAGAAAGAAAGAAGTAATACTTCATCAGAGGCCATACCACCAGAATAAGGGTTATAATGAGGAAGTCAGCTTCCATTTTCATGGCTCATGTACTGAACAGATGCCCCATGTGAAGTGCAGACCCAGGGAACCTGCATGGGCACGTAGAGACATATCCAGGGCCCCATTCCTTTCATCACTAATATGCCCAGTAAATATTTCATCACCTGGTGAACCCTGTTGGGCTTTGGGAAAATTCAGATGAATGGAAATCATGGTGGTCCCTGCACTTGAGGTTGTTTACAGAGGCAGTAAATGGAGTAAAAAGTCCACAGATGTTGTAGTTTGAAGTAGGTTCAAATCCCAGCTGCATATGGTGATGTGCACCTGTAATCCCAGCTACTCGGAAGGCTGAGGCACGAGAATCACTTGAACCTGGGAGGTAGAGGTAGAGGTTGCAGTGAGCTGAAATCGCACACTGCACTCCAGCCTGGGTGACAGAGTGAGACTCCATCTCAAAAAAAAAAAAAAAAAAAAATCCCAGTGGCATCTTCTAAAAGATGTGTGACCCTGGATAGGTTCCTGGACCTCTCTGAGCCTTAGTTTTTTTTTTTCTCTCTCTCTCTTTATTTTTTATTTTTGAGACAGGGTCTCATCTTTCATCCAGGCTGGAGTGTAGTGGCGCAATCACGGCTCACTGCAGCCTCGACCTCCCGAACTCAGGTGATCCTCCCACCTCAGCCTTCCATGTAGCTGGGACCACAGGCTCACACCACCATGCCCGGCTAATTTTTGTATTTTTTTTTGTAAAGATGAGTTCCTGCCATGTTACCCAGGCAAGTCTTGAACTCCAGAGCTCAAGCAATCTGCCTGCCTTGGCCTCCCAAAGTGCTGGGACTACACAAGAGCCACTGTGCCCAACCAGTTTTATCTGTGTGTGTGTGTGTGTGTGTGTGTGTGTGTGTGTGTGTGTGTGTGTGTGTGTATGTGTTGGCGGGGGTTGTGTTGTTGTTGTTGTTTTGAGACAGGATCTCATTCTGTTGCCTAGGCTGAAGGGCAGTAGTGCAATCACAGCTCACTGCAGCCTTCATCTCTCCAGTTCAAGTGATCCTCCTGCCTCAGCCTCCCAAGTAGCTGAGACTATAGGCATGTACCAACACACTCAACTATTTTTTTTAATTTTAAAATTTTTAATAGAGACAAGGTCTTGCTATGTTACCCAGGCTGGTCTTGAACTCCTGAGCTCACACAATCCTCCTGCCTTGGCCTCTCAAAGTGCTGGGATTACAGGTACAAGCCACCATGCCCAGCCTCTTTTAAAAGGAGAGAATAATTGTCTCTATCTATTTGGGATGTTTTGAGGAAACATGAGCTATGCATGTGAAACACTTAGTACCTGGCCTAGCACGTGGCATGTGTTTAACAACTGCTGAGTTTATTATTGTTAGCAGGAAAATGTCCCGTGGTGTGCTGGATGGGCTCGTGACAAAATTAGACCCATCTCTGAACTTCAACTGCATTCTGGGGATCAAATGCCTTCACCACTCTGAGCCTCAGTTTCTTGATCTGTAGAATAGGTCTAATCAATATACCTTGCTGGGTGTTTATGCAGATTAGATGGGGCAATGTATATATACGGACGCTTAGCACACAGGTAGCATTCGTATTAGTAGGAAAGAGGATCAGAAGAGCAAATAATTGCAACACAGTGTGATAAATGTTGTAGCAAAAGTCTTTACATAGGCTTTTTTTGTTTTGAGACAGAGTCTCACTCTGTCACCAGGATGGAGTGCAGTGGTGAGATCTTGGCTCACTGCAACCTCTGTCTCCCGAGTTCAAGTGATTCTCCTGCCTCAGCCTCCTGAGTAGCTGGGACTACAGGCGCCCACCACCACACCCGGCTAATTTTTGTATTTTTAGTAGAGATGGGGTTTCACCATGTTGGCCAGAATGGTCTCAATCTCCTGACCTCATGATCTGCCTGCCTCGGCCTCCCAAAGTGCTGGTATTACAGGCATGAGCCACCATGCCCAGCCCTTTACATGGGTTTTAAGGCCTGGATGTGATTTCTGAGAAATCAGACTGCAATCCATTTGTATAGCCAGGACCTTAAAGAGGAAATCCTCATTTGACTTTAGTGCAGGAACTCTGGCCTGCAGAGACAGGATCCTGTGCTGTGGACAGATAGTCCTGGAACTTCCAGAGGCCATGGGGTTGTAATTAAGAGTCTATTAGACCAGGCCAGAAGCAGTGGCTCATGCCTGTAATCCAACACTTGGGGAGGCCGAGGTGGGAGGATTGCTTGAGGCCGGGAGTTTGAGACCAGCCTGTGCAGCACAGTGAGATCCCACCTCGAAAAAATAAAAACAAAATAAAATAAAGAGCCTGTCAGACCAAATGAGACAGGTGCAGTGGTAGACACCTGTAGTCCCAGCTACTGAGGAGGGTGAGGCAGGAAAGTTGCTTGAGCCCAGGAGTTTGAGGCTGCTGTGCACTGTGATTGTACCTGGGAATAGCCACTGCACTATAGCCTGGGCAACATAGTGAGACCCCATCTCTTTAAAAAAAAAAAAAGTATCTGTCAGACCAGGGTGCAAAATTCAGCTCTACCACTGACTTAGCTAAGTGAAATTTATCAATGAAGTCACCCATTTGAGCCTCAGTTTCCTCATCTGTAAAATCATGTTAATGATGACAGCTAGCATCCACTGAGGGTCAGCTGTGTGCCAGATCTTGTTTTAAGTAATTCACTTTTTTTTTTTTTTTTGAGACAGAGTTTTGCTCTTGTTGCCCAGGCTGGAGTGCAATGGCACAATCTCGGCTCACTGCAACCTCTGCCTCCCGGGTTCAAGTGATTCTCCTGCCTCAGCCTCCTGAGTAGCTGGGATTACAGACATGCGCCACCACACCCGGCTAATTCTGTATTTTTAGTAGAGATGGGGTTTCTCCATTTTGGTCAGGCTGGTCTCAAACTCCCAACCTCAGGTGATCCGCCCGCCTTAGCCTCCCAAAGTGCTGGGATTACAGGCGTGAGCCACCGCACCCGGCAAGTAATTCACATTCACTAGCTTCCTTACTCTTCATAACAGCCCCATGAACTAGGTGCTATTGTTATATCCCCATTTTACAGATGAGAAAGATGTGACACAGGGAAGTCAAATCACTTGCTGGTAAATAGCCGAGCCAGGATTTAAACCCAGGCAGCCTGAGTTCTCAATCAGTGCTCTTCACTTTTAACTCGGAGGCTTTATTTATTTTTTATTTTTTATTTTTTTGAGAGAGAGAGTCTTGCTCTGTCTCCCAGACTAGAGTGCAGTGGCGCGATCTTGATTTACTGCAACCTCCGCCTCCCAGGTTCAAGCAATTCTCGTGCCTCACCCTCCAGAATGGCTGGGATTACAGGCGTGTACCACCACACCCAACTAATTGTTTTTTATTTTTAGTAGAGATGGGGTTTCAATATGGTTGGCAGGCTGGTTTCAAACTCCTGAACTCAGGTGATCCGCCCGCCTCAGCCTCCCAAAGTGCTGGGATTACAGGTGTGAGCCACTGTGCCTGGCTGTCTCTGCAGCTTTATATTCCACCCAGTGGGGTTTGGGGGGAGGATAAAAAGGACAATGGGTGTACAGTGGTGACCTAAGTGTCTCCAATGCAGGGCATGCTCGGTAAAGGGAGCTGCTGGGTATTTTTCGCTATTCTTATTCTGTCTTGTCTAAAGAAAGTGTTTTTTTATTCATACATATTTTAGAAAGGTCATACATCCCTAGCCCTCTTTGCTGTCCATTTGTCCATCAAATGGACAGAGCAGATGGCCAGGACCCAGTGGAGTGTGATGAACCCTTGAGAGTCCCCCAGTGAATGGTGTGATTTCAAAGAGGCTACATCTTCCAGCTTGCCGTGCGGGTCTCTACCCCATGATCCAGGCTGGGTGGATCTCTGCAGACCTTCTAAGCATCTGATTACAGGTCCGATGCAGTAATGAGGCCAAGGTCACGGCCCAGGTCCCCCAGGGGGCCACTGAGCTGAGGTGGTGAGCACAGCTCTCACTCTGCCAGCTGTCTCATTCATGCTGGGCCCTGCTTCAGGCGGCTGGAGATGGCAGAGGGGAGCCCGCTGCATGGTAGAGGGAATGACATTGAGTGCTGGCTCTGTGGTCTTGGCCAAGCCTCTTTGAGCCTCAGTTTCTTCATCCCTAAAGTGGGAAGATTACGTATTTGTATTCATTATCTATTGCTGTCTAACAAACCATCCCCAGGTGTTTGTGGCTTAAAACAATAGCATTTATGTAGCTCACCATTCTGGGGTCTGGCTTGGCTGTGAGTGTGTCAGCTGGAACGTCAGCTCATGTCTGGGTGGTCTAGGGTGGCCTCCCTCACATATCTGGTGGTTGACAGCTGTGGGCTGGAGTGATGGGGTATGCCTGGGCATTGGGACTCTCATCCTCCAGCAGAAGAGCCTGAGCTTCTTCAATTGGTGGCTGGGATTCAAGTGTAGCAAGAGATGGCAAGCTCCATATGCAAGCTCTTTTTAAGCCCCTGTTTGTTTCACATTCACTGATATCTCTTTAGCCAAGGTATGGTCCATGGTCAAGGCCAGAGTCAGGGTAGAAGGCAACACCACAGGGCCCCATACAGGAGAATAATTTGTGGCTATTTTTGCAATCGACCACAGTGTCCCAGGCAGAGATTTTGGGAAGAACAAATGAAAAATGGTAGGGTTCTGAGTAGTCATAAAAATATTAGCAAACATTTGGCTGGGCACGGTGGCTCATGCCTGTAATCCCAGCACTTTGGGAGGCCAAGGTGGGAGGATCACTTGAGGGTCAAGAGTTCCAGACCAGCTGGTCAACGTGGCGAAATCTCGTTTCAACTAAAAATACAAAAATTAGCCAGGCACAGGCATGGTGTCTCACACCTGTGATCCCAGCACTTTGGGAGGCCAAGGCAGGTGGATCACCTGGGTTCAGAATTTCGAGACCAGCCTGGCCAACATGGTGAAACCCTGTCTCTACTAAAAATACAAAAATTAGCCTAGCGTGGTGGCAGGCACCTGTAATCTCAGCTACTCGGGAGGCTGAGTCAGGAGAATCACTTGAACCCAGGAGGCGGAGGTTGCAGTGAGCCGAGATCATGCCATTGCACTCCAGCCCGGGCAACAAGAGTGAAACTCCAGCTCAAAAAAAAAAAAAAAAAAAAAAAAAAAAATTAGCCAGGTGTGGTGGTGCACGCCTGTAATCCCAGCTACTCAGGAGGCTGAGTCATGAGAATCACTCGAACCCAGGAGGTAGAGGTTGCAGTGAGCCGAGATCATGCCACTGTACTCCAGCCTGGATGCAGATCGAGACTCCATCTTAAAAAAGTAAAATAAAATAAAAATAATAGCAAACATTAATTGGAACATAATAGGGGCTCCAACATGTTGCATGAACAGTCCTCACTTTCCAGGCAAGGACATGTGGTTCAGAGAGGTTGAATGACTTACCCAGGGTCACACAGCTAATTAGTGGGAGAGCTGGACTTGGAACCCAGAGCTGTCTAATTCCAAAGTTCATGTTCACAGCAATCCCTTCTGCTGCTTCCCAGCACATGCAATTCAGTTCCAACATTAATAGGGATTAACAGAAGCCCCTATCTGGGATGCAAGCCCAGTTTCTCCATCCCTCATGAAGGCCTGACTTCATTTGAAAGAAGCCAGCTGACTGTTTTGCCTGTCATCTGTATTCAGGATTGAGCACAGTTGAGCTTCGCACAAAGCAGAAACTAGAGAGCATTTGTTTGAATAAAAGAAATTGCCACCTATTCTCATAAGGATTTATGTATGCAGGCAGACATGGAGGGAGCTGCTTTGCACCCCACGTTGCAAATACTAGCTCCTCCCTGCTACTAACAATTTTGGTGGCAAGATTATCTGTTTCTGAGCATATGTTCTCCCCATCTCAGCTTTCCTTAGGGAGAAAACTATTTTCTCACCTCTCAGAAAAGGAGGTGACACTTAAAGTAGGGAGAGAACAGATGATCTTACGTCTAACTTTTCTGCTGGGAAAGGCAACAGCTGATGGGGGATATGATCAAAACCTGTAAAGGAAGAGGGAACGCGTTTCCAGCGACCTGAAGGAGGAACTCATGTGTTCCCAAGGGCCCAGGCCTGGTGTGATTCATCTTGGCTTGTTGAGGGATTCTTGATTGCAGGGAAGCATGTTGTGCTTGAGGTTCTGCCTGAAGCTCTGAAGCTGGGTAGAGGGACCATGCAGGGTTGTTCAATTGGTTTCTCTACTTTTGTTTATACCTGAAAATTTCCATAATTAAAAACAACAGGCCAGGTCTGGTGGCTTATGCCTGTAATCCCAGCACTTTGAGAGGCCGAGGTGGGAGGATTGCTTGAGCTTAGGAGTTTGAGACCAGCCTGGCCAACACAGCGTAGACCTCCATCTCTACAAAAAATACAAAAATTCACCAGGTGTGGTGGCATGTGGTTGTGTACTCCAAGCTACTCAGGAGGCTGAGGCAAGAGGATTGCTTGAGCCTATGAGTTTGAAGCTGCAGTGAGCCTTGATTGCACCACTCCACTCCACTCCAGGCTGGGTAACAGACTGAGACCTTACCTCAAAACAACAACAGAGCAATAACTCAACAATTTGGGCATGGAGGAGAGCAGAGTACAAACGCTGAAGTCAGAAATACCACATGATTTTTTTTTTTTTTTTTTTTTTTGGGACGGAGTCTTGCTCTGTCACCCACACTGGAGTACAGTGGCGCGATCTCAGTTTACTGCAACCTCTGCCTCCTGAGTTCAAGAAATTCTCCTGCCTCAGCCTCCTAAGTAGTTGGGATTACAGGTGCCCACCACCACACCCAGATAATTTTTGTATTTTCAGTAGAGACAGGGTTTCTCCATGTTGGCCAGGCTGGTCTCAAACTCCCGACCTCAGGTGATCCACCTGCCTTGGCCTCCCAAAGTGCTGGGATTACAGGCATGAGTCACCGTGCCCGGCCTAGAAATGGTATGTGATTCTTAGCCTCAGTTTCCTTTTCTGTAAAATGGGCATGATAATAGGCCCTATACCTAGGATTGCTGTGAGGATTAAATGAGATCTTTCCTGTAAAGCTCTTAGCCCAGGAAGATCTAATAAGGCTCCATATGTCTGAAGAGCCAGGGTTTCTCAACCGTACTCCTATTGACATTTGGGGACTAATACTTCTTTGCTGTGGGGCGGGGTGGGGACTGTCCCATGCATTGTAAGATGTTCAGCAGCATTCCTGGGATCTATCCACTGGATGCCAGGAGCACCTCCTAGTCAACGACAACCAAATACTGTCTCCAGACACTGCCAAATGTCCCCTGGGGGGAGGAGGGGAGTAGAGTTGTCCCGGGTTCAGAACCACTGGCCTAATCCTTTGTTGTTATTAATTAACAGTGATTCTCTTTTCCTGTGAGGTTGAATATCTGATTTGTGAGGGGAGTTTGGCCAGGCTGGGCTTTGGATACTGCAGCTCTTGCCGTTGCAGACAGCACAAGCAATTGCAAGGTTTATTGCCTCAGTAATGAGATTTATGTGGATGAGCGAGCACATTTTGTGCCAAGATTCATACTTAAGTTTTGAAAAATCTGCATGAGAGCATTATCTAGAAATTTTTCCAGCTGGAGTTCTACTGAGCTTGTCAAAGGGTGACATTAGGCTCAGGATCTTGATACAGTACCTTGAATTTACAGAATTCCTTCCTCTCTTAAAAAAGATATAACTTGACCAGGCATGGTGGCTCATGCTTGTAATCCCAGCACTTTGGGAGGCTGAGGCGGGAGGTCAGGAGTTTGAGACCAGCCTGGCCAACATGGCAAAACTGGCAAAACCCTCCATCTTCGCTAGAAATACAAAAATTAGCTGGCCATGGTGTCACACGCCTGTAGTCCCAGCTGCTTGAGAGGCTGAGGCAGGAAAATTGCTTGAACCCGGGAAGCAGAGGTTGCAGTGAGCCGAGATCATGCCACTGCACTCCAGCCTGGGTGACAGAGTGAGTCTCTGTCTCAAACCAACAAAAAAATTTAAAAACAAAAAAGACAATAACTTTTCTGATTTCCAATGACTGAATGTACTTTGCAGAAAAATTAGAAAATACAGAATGGAAGATATGAAAAATAAACTTACCCATTATGATGGTTAATTTTTTTTTTTTTTGAGACGGAGTCTCCCTCTGTCACCCAGACTAGAGTGCAGTGGTGCAATCTCAGGTCACTGCAACCTCCATCTCCTGGGTTCAAATGATTCTCCTGCCTCAGCCTCCTGAGTAACTGGGACTATAAGCGGGTGCTACCACACCCGGCTAATTTTTGTATTTTTAGTAGAGATGGGGTTTCATCATGTGGCCAGGCTGGTCTTGAACTCCTGACCTCAGGTGATCCACCCACCTTGGCTTCCCAAAGTGCTGGGATTACAGGCGTGAGCCACTGTACCAGGCCAGTGGTGGTTAATTTTATGTGTCAATGTAACTGGGCCACAGGATGCCCACATATCTAATTAAACACTATTTCTGGTATGCTTGGGAAAGTGTGTTCAGAAGAGATTAACATTTGAATCGGTGGACTGAGTAAAGCAGGTGGCCTTCTCCAATATGGATCATCCAATCCATTGAGGGCCTGAGAATAAAAAGGCTGAGAAAGGTTGGATGCGCTCTCCCTCTGCCTGTTTGAGCTGGGACGTCAGTCTTCTCCTGCCCTCGGAGCTCCAGCATCTCAGGCCTTCAGACCTGGACTGGAATGTCCACCATCGGGCCTCTGGTTCTCAGGCCTCTAAACTACACCACTGGCCTCTCTGAGTCTCCAGTTTGCAGATGGCAGATTGTGGCACTTCTCAACCTCCATATTTGCATAAGCCCAAAGTTTGTGGTGTTTTTTTTTGTTTTTTTGTTTTTTTTTTTGAGACAAGGTCTTGATCTGTCACCCAGGCTGGAGTATGGTGGCACGATCACGACTCACTGCAGCCTCAACCTCCCAGGCTCAAGCAATCCTCCCACCTCAGCCTCCCAAGTAGCTGGGGCTACAGCTGCGCACCATCATGCCTAGCTAATATTTGTATTTTTTGTAGAGACGAGGTCTCACTATGTTGCCAGGGCTGGTCTGGAACTCCTGGGTTCAGGCCATCCTTCTGCCCTGATCTCCCAAAGTGCTGGGATTGCAGGCATGAGCCACCATGCCTGGCTAAGGATTTCAGTGTATGAATTTGGGTGGGACACAAACTTTCAGACCATAGTGTACATTTTCACTGTATGTTTACTGCCACATATTTAATGTTTGTGTGCTTTTTTGGTATGACTTTTGTGTTTAAAATGATCCCCAAGTGTAGTGCTAAAGTACTGTCTATCTAGTATCCCTAAGCACAAGAAGGTTGTGATGTGCCTTATGGGGAAAATACATGTGTTAGATACACTTCATTCAAACATGAGGTATTATGGTATTGGCTGTGAGTTTGATGTGAATGAATTGAACATATATATATATAGAGATTTTTTTTTTTTTTGAGATGGAGTTTCGCTCTTGTTGTCCAGGCTGGAGGGCAATCGTGTGATCTCAGCTCACCGCAACCTCCGCCTCCCAGGTTCAAGCAATTCTCCTGTCTCAGCCTCCCAATTAGCTGGGATTACAGGCATGCATCACCATACCCGGCTAATTTTGTATTTTTAGTAGAGATGGGGTTTCTCCATGTTGATCAGGCTGATCTCGAACTCCCAACCTCAGGTGATGCGCCTGTCTCAGCCTCCCAAAGTGCTGGGATTACAGGCATGAGCCATCGCTCCTGGCCCAACAATATATATTAATCAACAATACTTTATATGGTGGCTTTGGCCAGGTGTGATGGCTCATGCCTGTAATCCTAGGACTTTGGGAGGTCGAGGTGAGAGGATCACTTGAGCCCAGGAGTTTAAGACCAGCCTGGGCAATGTGGCAAAACCCCGTCTCTACCCAAAACAGAAGAACTAGCTGGGCATGGTGGTACATGCCTATAGTCCAAGCTACTCAGGAGGTTGAGGTGGGAGGATCACCTGAACTGGGAGAGGTTGAGGCTGCAGTGATCCGTGATTGCTCCACTGCACTCCAGCCTGGACAACAGAGTGAGACCCTGTCAAAAATAATAATAATAATAAGGGGGGTGTCTTTAAACAGAAACACACATAAAAAAAGCTTGTATATTGATTGGTTGACTAAAATGTCGTGACCAAAAGCTTGCAGGCACCTAACCATGTATTTCCCCTAGGAGCAATGGTTTAGTATTTGCTAATTCAGTGTTCTTGGTGACTTTGTAGAATAAGTACCATGAATAATGAGAATTGACTCTATCTGTGTATGTGATCATGAGAATTACTTTAGGATACATTTCTGGAGTGAAATTATTGGGTCGAAGTAGAACACCTTTTCTGATGTCTTTTGGGTTTGTATCAGGTAGCTCTCACTGTGTAACAAACCTCCCCCAAATTCAGTGACTTGAAATAATATGTATTTATTATTTACTCACAAGTTTAAAGCAGGCTGGGAGGTTTGGTTGATCCGGATTGGGCTCGGTGGGTCTCTGCAGGGCTTACTCATGTTTGTGGTTGATGGGGTTTGGCTGGTCTAGGATAACCTCACTCATGTGTTGGAGTTGATGCTTCTCTTCTTCCAGTAAGGTTGCCTGGGCTTGTTCACGTGGCAGCATCAGGGTTCCAGGAGAGCAAGTGAAAATGTTCAAGATCTCTTGAGGCCTAAGCCTAGAAATGCCAGGATAGTTATTTCTGTTGCATCCTATTGGCCAAAGCAATTTAGAAGACCAGTCCAGATTCAAGCACTGGGAAACAGATTTTGTCTCTTGATGAAAAGAGCTGCAAAGATATATTGCAAAGGGCTCAAGTGATCCTCCCACCTCAGCCTCCCAAAGTGCTGGGATTACAGGCATGAGCCACTGTACCCAGCCCAGACGCTGTAGTTGTCTTTTTTTTCTTTTCTTTTTCTTTTTCTTTTTTTGAGACGAAGTTTCGCTCTTGTCACCCAGGCTGGAGTGCAATAGCGTGATCTTGGCTCACTGCAACCTCCGCCTCCTGGGTTTAAGCAATTCTCTTGCCTCAGCCTCCTGAGTAGCTGTCAGGCACTGTATTTTTAAGGAAACTTTTATTTTAGGATAGACTTTGATTTACAGAAAAGTTGCAAAATAGTACAGAGTTTCCATATAACCCCACACCCAGTTACCTCTGTATTAACATCTCATGTTTCTATTTTATGTATTTTTTTCATAGAGATGGGGTCTCACTATGTTGCCCAGGCTGGTCTCAAACTCCTGGGCTCAACTGATCCTCCCAAAGTGCTAGGATTACAGGCGTGAGCCACCGCAACTGGCCGATTTTTTTTTTTTTTTTTTTTGATCTGTCTCTAGGCTGGAGTGCAGTGGCGCAATCTCAGCTCACTGCAACCTCCACCTCCCAGGTTCAAGCGATTCTCCTGCCTCAGCCTCCCGAGTAGTTGGGATTTCAGGTACGTGCCACCATGCCCAACTAATTTTTTTTTTTTTGTATTTTTAGTAGAGACAGGGTTTCACCATGTTGGCCAGGATGGTCTTGACCTCTTGACCTCGTGATCTACCTGCCTAGGCCTCCCAAAGTGCTGGGATTACAGATGTGAGACACTGCACCTGGCTGCCTGGCCGATTTTTTTATATTTAATCAGAGTAGGAGCTGTGCAGATCCCTGAGCCAGAGGTTTTCTCTGGTGAATCAGATCTTAAACTTTTAATGGTTCCTCTTATTCTTAGACACGGAGAAGGTGGCACACTCTATCAAGAAGTAGACTCAGTGCAGTGGGGCCAGCAGTGTGGCCATGAGCAAGAGGCTTTACCTCTCTGAGCCTCAGTTTCTTCCTCTGTAAAATGGGGATTAAAAAAGCCATTTCACTGAGTTAATGCCTGGGAAGTTGGTATCACTGGCCTGGTGGGCGGTAAATGCTTAATAAGTACCAGCTCAACTGTGGTATTTATCTGTATTAAGGATCAGTAGCAGGTGCTCTCGCAGACATAATCTCAGATGAGCATCATTTCTCTCCACTGAAGAGATGAGGAAACAGAGGCCCAAAGAGGTGGCATAACTTGACCAAGATCACAAAGCCAGGAAATGGCAGGACTGGTCATCACACCAGGGCTTCTGGCATTAGCTCAAACCATCATGGCTACCATGCATGGACTCAGCCCCCAGCATATGGTGGGCCCTGAGCCAAGTGTGCAACCTGCATTTCCTCATGGATGTTCCCACAATGCCATGAGGTGGCATCAGAGAAGGCGGAATAGAGAGTAGGGACTTCCATTCCCATCAGGTGGTCATGAGGCCTCTCCCTGTGGTTCAAGTGGCCATCACATGAGGAGTGTGCATTTCTACTCCCATCTGACAGTAACGATGTGCTCCTCCTTCTCCCCCATCGGGTGCTGTCAGGGGAGGCAGCAAGGAGCGTTGGGACTGTCGCCACTGCCTGGGAACACTTTCCCATGATGTCAAAGGAAGACACATGGGGAACACCAGTGAGGCACTTCTACCTCTCCCAGCCAGGAAGGTATCAGCAGAGCAGGTGGGGAACCACAAGTCCCACTTCCACCCAGAAATAAGAGAAGTCTCCCACCCTGCCCATCAGCTTTCATCAGAGGCTGACTGGAGAACTTCCACCCCTCCTGGCATTAATGAGGAGGAACTCCCACCCCCACTCTGCTGTAGTGGTGTCAAGTAGCACCATATAAAATGAATGGAAGATGTATGGGAGGCCAAGATGGGAAGATTGTTTGAGGCCAGGAGTTCGAGACCGGCCTGGGCAACATAGCAAGACACTGTCCCTATAAAAAAAATTTTTTTAGGCCAGGCACAGTGGCTCACACCTGTAATCCCAGCACTTTGGGAGGACGAGGCGGGTGGATCACCTGAGGTCAGTAGTTCGAGACCAGCCTGGCCAACATGGGGAAACCCCATCTCTACTAAAAATACAAAAATAAGCTGGGCATGGTGATGCGTGCCTGTAATCCAGGCTACTCGGGAGGCTGAGGCAGGAGAATCACTGGAACCCGGGAGGTGGAGGTTGCAGTGAGCTGAGATCACACCACTGCACTCCAGCTTGGGTGACAGAGCAAGACTCCATCTCAAAAAAAAAAAAAAGTTTTTTAAAAGCCAGGTATGGTGGTACCTGTAGTCCTAGCTACTCAGGAGGCTTGTAGGAGGATCCCTTGGGCCCAGGAGTTCAAGATTACAGTGAGCTATGATCATGCCACTGCACTCCAGCCTGAGTGACAGAGCAAGACTGCATCTCAAAAAAAAAAAAAAAAAGTTTAAATGAGATCCAGAGTTTCATAACATAATACCTAAAATGTCCAGGTTTTGATTGAAAATAACTCACACAAAGAACCAGGAAGATCTGAAACCGAATGAAACAAGACAATCAATATGTGCCAATGCAAAGATGATAGAGATGTTAGAATTAGCTGACAATGTTTTTAAAGCAGTCATCATAGAAATGCTTAGCAACCAATTGCAAACGTGACTGAAACAAATGTAAGAAAATAGAAAGTCATCAGAATCAGATCTGATGTTTATTCTCTCTCTCTCTCTCTATCTATTTATCTGTCAATCATCTATCTATCTTCATAGTCTACTGGTGTTGTCATTTTACCAGTTCAAGTATAGAGTCTTATCTCCCTTATGTTTTCTTATACTCTTCTGTTTGTATTATAATTGTCTTAAATATTTCCTCTACATACATTTAGAACCAGATTAGTGTTATAATTTTTACTCTAACCATTGGTCATAATTTAGAAAACTCAGGAAGAGAAGAAAAGTCTGTATTTACTTACACTTCAGATGACCACGTTCTTTCTTCCCTCCTAATGTTCCAAGGTTCCTTCTTCTATCATTTCCTTTCTGTTTAGAGAACTTCCTCTTTCCTTTTTTTTTTTTTTTTTTTTTTTTTTTGGCAGTCTTGCTCTGTCATGCAGGCTGGAGTGCAGTGGTGCAATCTTGGCTCACCGCAACCTCTGCCTCTCAGGTTCAAGTGATTCTCCTGCCTCAGCCTCCCAAGTAGCTGAGATTACAGGCACACACCACCACACCCGGCTAATTTTTATGTTTTTAGTAGAGATGGGGTTTCACCATATTGGCCAAGCTGGTCTCCAACTCCTGACTTTGTGATCCACCCGCCTTGGCCTCCCAAAATGCTAGGATTACAGGCGTGAGCCACTGCCACCGGCCTCTCTTTCCATTCTTTTAGGGAAGGTCTACTGGTGACAAATTCTCTTACTTTTCCTTCATCTGAGAATGTCTTGATTTCCTCTTCAGTAGTGAAGAACATTTTCACTAGATATTGTTTTCTGGGTTGATAGTTCTTTCTTTCAGCACTTAAAAAATGCTGTCCTGGCTGGGCATAGTGGCTCATGCCTATTATCCCAGCACTTTGGAAGGTGGAGGTTGGAAGATTGCTGGAGGCCAGGAGTTTGAGACCAGCCTAGGTAACACAGCAAGACCCCGTCTCTACAAAAAAATTAAAAATTAGCTGGGCATGATTGTGCATGCTTGTAGTCCCAGCTACTTGGGAGGCTAAGGCAGAAGGATTGCTTGAACTCAGGAAGTCAAGGTTGCAGTGAGCTATGATCATGTCACTGCATTCCAGCTTGGGAGACAGAGCAAGACCCTGTCTTAAAAAAAAAAAAAAAGAAGCGGTGCCACTTTCTTCTGAGATCCTTGGTTTCTGATAAGAAAACTATTGTTGTTCAAATTGATTTTCTATGATAGGTAGGGTATTGTTGCTCTCTCACTGCTTTCAAGATTTTTTCTTTGTCTTTAGTTTTCAGAAGTTTGACTATGATGTGTGTTGGCGTGAGCTTCTGTGGGTTTATCCTGTTTGAGTTTTGTTTAGCTTCTGTAGATTTTTGGAATCTTTATTCCAAATTTGGGAAGTGTTTGGCCACTATTTCTTCAAGTACTTTTTCAGCCCCACCCTCTTTCTCCTGTCCTTCTGAAATTCTGATGTCACGAAAGCTAAGTCTTTTGTTATAGTCCCAAGGTCCCTGAGGTTCTGTGTAGTTTTTTGAAAGATAACAGAATAATCTCCAAACGCTTGGAAACTAAACAACACTCTTATAAGTAACCCATGTCTCAAAGAGAAAGTTTCAAAGGAAATTTAAAAAAACATTAAACTGAATGAAAGTGATAATACAACATATCAAAATTTGTGTCGTACAGCTAAACAAGGGCTGAGAAAGGACTTCATAGAACTACATGAAGTCTATTTTATCTTTTTTTTGGAGACCGAAGTCTATTTTCTCTCTATTGTTTTCAGATTGGGTAATTCCTATAGCTCTGTCTTCAAGTTCATTGATTTTTTTCCTCTGCCCCCT
Source organism: Homo sapiens (assembly GCF_000001405.40). Taxonomy (NCBI): domain Eukaryota; kingdom Metazoa; phylum Chordata; class Mammalia; order Primates; family Hominidae; genus Homo; species Homo sapiens. The sequence continues at coordinate 108,742,801 of NC_000012.12, read as the reverse complement.
CTATTCTGTTGTTGAGTCCACCCATTGGATTCTTTTAGTTATATTTTTCAGTTCTAAATTTCCATTTGGTTCTTTCTTATATCTTCTATTTTTTGTGGATATCTACCTGTATATCTCTATCTATCCATCCATCTATAATGTGGTACCTAGAACAACTACTAAAAGTGCTATGCAAAGAGATACACTCAAAAACACTATAGATAAATCAAAAGAAACTCTAAAAATCCCACAGGAAGGCAGTAAGAAGGAAACAGAAATGAAAAATAGAGAGAACAAGCACAAGCACAAAATAAAACAGCAGACTTAAGCTCTAATATATCAATAATTACCTTAAATGTAAAGGGTCTAAACACACTAATTAAAGACAGAACTTATGGCTGGGTGCAGTGGCTCATGCCTGTAATCCCGGCACTTTGGGAGGCTGAGGTGGGTGGATCACCTGAGGTCAGGAGTTTGAGACCAGCCTGGCCAACATGGCAAAAAAAATTAGCCGGTTGTGGTGGCATGTGCCTGTGGTGGCGTGTGGAGGCTGAGGCAGGAGAATTGCTTCAACCCGGGAGGCAGAGGTTGCAGCGAGCAGAGATCATGCCACTGCACTCAGCCTGGGCAACAGAGTGAGACTCTGTCAAAAAAAAAAAAAAAAAAGACAGAACTTGGCAGAGTAGACCGAAAAAGCATGAACCAACTACATGTTGTCCACAGGAAACTCACTTCAAATATACAAGTGGGTTGAAAGTAAAAGGATGGTGGCTGGGTGCAGTGGCTTACACCTGTAATCCCAGCACTTTGTGAGGCCAAGGTGGGCAGATCACAAGGTCAAGAGATCGAGACCATCCTGGCCAACAAGGTGAAACCCCGCCTCTACTAAAAATACAAAAATTAGCTGGGCCTGGTGGCATGTGCCTGTTGTCCCAGCTACTCCGGAGGCTGAGGCAGAAGAATCGCTTGAACCCAGGAGGTGGAGGTTGCAGTGAGCAGAGATAGCGCCACTGTACTCCAGCCTGGCAACAGAGTGAGACTCCTCAAAAAAAAAAAAAAAAGAAAGTAAAAGGATGGGAAAATAATATCAGGCAAACATTAATCAAAAGATTGCAGGGATAGCTATGTTAGTATTAGATAAAGTATACTTCGGAGCAAAGAAGACTGAGAGACAGAGAAGGACATTGTATAATGACAAACGGGCAATCCACCAAGTAGTCCTAACAATCCTAAACATGTGTGCACCAAACAACAGAGCTGCAGAATATGTGAGGCAAAAACTAATAGAATTGAAAAGAGAAATAGACAGATCTATCATTATAGTTTAAGATTTCTTTCTTCCTTTTTTTTTTTTTTTAAGACATGGCCTTGCTTTGTCACCCAGGCTGGATCTCAGCTCACTGCAACCTCCACCTCCTGGATTCAAGCAATTCTCCTGCCTCAGCCTCCTGAGTAGCTGAGATTACAGGTGCCCACCACCACGCCTGGCTAATTTTTGTATTTTTTCAGTAGAGATGGGGTTTCATCATGTTGGCCAGGCTGGTCTCAAACTCCTGACCTCAAGTGATTCACCCACTTCGGCCTCCAAAAGTGCTGGTATTACAGGCATGCACCATTGTGCCTGGCCCTATAGTTTAAGATTTCAATACTCTTCTCTCAATAACTGATAGAATAACTTGACAGAAAATCAGCAAGAATATAGAAGAACTCAACATCATCAACCAATGGGATCTGATCAACACATATAGGACATTTCCCTAAACAGCAGCAGAATACACAGTCTTTTCAGGTGCCCATAGAACATATACCATGATAGACCATATCCTAGACCATAAACAAATGTCAACAAATTTAAAAGAATTAAAATCATACACAGTGTATTCTTCAACCACAAAGGAATCAAATTAGAAACCAAGAACAGAAAGATAACAGAATAGTCTCCAAACACTTGCAAACTAAACAACACACTTATAAGTAACCCATGTCTCAAAGAGAAAGTTTCAAAGGAAATTTAAAAATACATTAAACTGAATGAAAGTGACAATATAACATATCAAAATTTGTGGCACACAGGTAAACAAGGGCTGAGAGGGGACTTCACAGCACTACATACATATGTTTAAAATGTCCTACATCAGGCCAGGTGTGGTGGCTCACACCTGTAATCCCAGGACTTTGAGAGGCTGAGGAGGGTGGATCACCTGAGTTTGGGAGTTCAAGACCAGCCTGACCAACATGGTGAAACCTCGTCTCTACTAAAAATACGAAAATTAGCTAGGCATGGTGGTGCAAGCCTGTAATCGCAGCTACTTGGGAGGTTGAGGCAGGAGAATCATTTGAACTTGGGAGGCAGAGGTTGCAGTGAGCTAAGATCATGCCACTGCACTCCAGCCTGGGTGACAGAGTGAGACTCCATTTAAAAAAAAAGAAAGAAAGAAAATAAAAGTCCCACATCAATCATCTAAGCTTCCACTTAAAGAACATAGGACAAGGGGAGCAAAATAAACCCAAAGCAAACAGAAGGAAGGAAATTGTAAAGAGCACAAATCAATGAAACGGAAAGCAAGAAAACAATAGAGAAAAATCAATGAAATAAAAACTAGTTCTTGAAAAGTTTCAGTAAAATTGACAATTCTCTGCTAAGACTAACCAAGAAGGAAAAAGAAGACACAAATTGGCTGGGCATGGTGGCTCATGCCTGTAATCCCAGCACTTTGGGAGGCCGAGGCGGGTGGATCATGAGGTCAGGAGTTCAACACCAGCCTGGCCAAGATGGTGAAGCCCCTGTCTCTACTAAAAATACAAAAATAGCTGGGCATGGTGGCGGGTGCCTGTAATCCCAGCTACTCGGGAGGCTGAGGCAGAGAATTACTTGAACTGGGAGGCAGAAATTTCAGTGAGCCGAGATTGCACCATTTCACTCCAGCCTGGGTGAAAGAGCGAGACTCCGGCTCAAACAAAAGAAAAGAAAAGAAAAAGAAGACACAAATTTTCGGTATCAGGAATGAAAGAGGGGCTATCACTGCATACATCAAACTTGATAAGCGAAATAGACCAATTCCTTTAAAAACAAAAACTACCGTAACTCACCCACTACAGAATAGACAGTTTGAATAGCCCTGTAACTATTAAGGAAATTGAATTTGTAATGTAACAGATCCCCAAAGAGGAATCTCTAGGTTGAAATGGTTTCCCTGGAGAAGTTTACCAAACATTTAAAGAATTAACAGTTACCTGCAAAATCTCTTCCAGAAAATAGAAGAGAAGGAAACATATTCCAATTCATTTTACTAAGCGAGTGTTAACTCTGATGTTAAAACCAGAGTTTTACGAAAAGGTGGAACTACTGGGCCGGGCGGGGCGGCTCATGCCTGTAATCCCAGCACTTTGAGAGGCCGAGGTGGGCGGATCACAAGGTCAGGAATTTGAGACCAGCCTGGCCAATATGGTGAAACCCTGTCTCTACTAAAAATACAGAAAAATTAGCTGGGTGTGGTGGCACATGCCTATAATCCCAGCTACTCAGGAGGCTGAGGCAGGAGAATTGCTTGAACCCAGGAGGTGGAGGTTGCAGTGAGCCGAGATGACGCTACTGCACTTCAGCCTGGGCGACAGAGCAAGACACAAGGTGGAACTACAGATTAATATCTCACATGAGTATAGAAACAAAAATGCAGTCGAGCATGGTGGCTCATGCCTGTAATTCTGGTACTTTGGGATACTGAAGTGGGAGGATCGCTTGAGCCCAGGAGTTCGAGACCAGCCTGGGCAATACGGCGAAAACCCATTTCTACAAAAGATACAAAAATTAACCGGGTGTGGTGGATGTCTGTAGTTACAGCTGCCTAGGGGGCTGAGGTGGGTGGATCACCTGAGCCTGGGAGGTCTAGGCTGCAGTGAGCCGAAATTGTGCCACTGCACTCCAGCACGGGCAACAGAGTGAGACCCTGTCTGAAAAGAAAAGAAAAAAACAAAACAAAAATGCTTAACAATAAATTAGCAAATGGAATTCAGCAATCTGTATAAAGAATTGTCTACCTTAACCAAGTGGGATTTATTCCAGGGATGCAAGGCTTGCTTGGTATTCAGAAATCAATGTAATGCACCATATTAACAGGCTAAAGAAGAAAAATCATATATCATTCAGTGTAGTACAGGTATTCATGATTTAAAAATCTCTTAAAAATAGGAATGAAGGAGAAATTCCTTGATTTTTTTTAAAGAATAATCAAGTGCAGTAGTGAGAAGTGGGGGGAGAGGGGAAGAGTAGTACATGGAGTTTGATCTGTAACTGACTGTAAAAAGTCCATTGAGATAACTCACTACTTTCAGACCAGCCAAATTCCTCAATTTGATAAAGAGCATCTACAAAAAAAAAAACAAACTGCAGCTAACATTACACTTAATGATGAAAGACTGAATGCTTCCTGCCAAAGGTCAAGAACAAGGCAAAGACGTTTGCTTTCACTCCTTATGCAGCTTTCACTCACTATGCAACACTCACTATGCTTTGCTTTCACTCACTTTGCTTTCACTCACTATGCAGCACTCAGCATAGTGCTGGAGGTGCTAGCCAGTGTAATAAGGCAAGAAATGGGCATAAGCGACACACAGATTGGAAAGAAAAAAATTAAAATCATCTCTATTTTCTGGTGACATGATTGTTTCTGTAGGAAATCCCAAGGAATCTATAAAACAGTTTGTAGAACTAAAAGGTGACTTCAACAAGGCCCCGGGATATAAGGTAAACATAGAAAAACTAATTGTATTCCAATATACTAGCCATGAACTCATGGACATTGTAATAAAAAATATAGTGCTATTGGCAGGGTGCAGTGGCTCATGCCTGTAATCCCAGCACTTTGGAAGGCTAAGGCGGGAGGACTGCTTAGCCCAGAGTTTGAGATCAGCCTTGGCAACACAGTGAGACCCCCATCTCTACAAAATATAATTTAAAAATTAACTGATGTGGTGGTGTATGCCTGTAGTCCCAGCTACTGGGGAAGCTGAGGCAGAAGGATCACTTGAGCCCAGGAGTTCAAGGCTGCAGTGAGCTATGATCATGCCACTGTACTTTAGCCTGGGTGATAGAGTGAGACCCTGTCAAAAAAAAAAAAAAAAAAAAAAAAAAGAAAAGAAAAGAAAATTAGCAAGACATGAAGAGACATATAAATAGCAAATAAGAGCCAGGTGTGCTGGCTCACGCCTGTAATCCCAGCACTTCGGGAGGCCAAGGCAGGTGTATTGCTTGAAGTCAGAAGTTCAAGACCAGCCTGGCCAACATGGTGAAACCCCATCTCTACTAAAAATACAAAAATTAAATGGGCATGGTGGTGGGTGCTTGTAATCTCAGCTACTTGGGAGACTGAGGCAGGAGAATCACTTGAACCCAAGAGGCGGAGATTGCAGTGAGCTGAGATTACGTCACTGCACTCCAGCCTCGGTGACAGAGCGAGACTCTGTCTCAGAAAAAAAAAAAAAAATTTTTTTTAAAATAAATAAATAGCAAATAAGAACATGAAAAGATTTTGAACATTATTAACCAACAGGAAAATGCAAATTAAAACCACAATGAGGTATTACTCTATACCTATCAGAATGGCTAAAATAAAATATAGTGACAACATCAAATGCTGACAAAGATGCAAAGAAACTGGCACTCATAGATTGCTGGTAGGTGGGGATGTAAAATGGGTCAACCATTCTGGGAAACAGTTTGACAGTTTCTTAAAATACTGAACATACGACTACCATATAACACAGCAATTGGACTCCTGGGAACTTTTCACAGAGAAATGAAGACGTACGTTCACACAAAAAGCTGTACATGAATGTTTATAACGTTTATACCAGCTTTATTCATAATAGCTCCAACCTGTGTCCTTCAATGGGTGAATAGGTCAAACAATATGTCTTTCAATGGGTGAATATTTAAACCGTGGTGCATGTGTACCATGGAACACTACTCAGCAATAATAAGGAACAAACTACTCACACATGCAACAACCTGGATGCATCTCCAGAGATTTATGCAGGGTGAAAACAGTCAATTCTAAAAGGTTACATACTATATGATTCCATTTACATGACATTCTTGAAATGACAAAATTTTAGAAATGTAGAACAGATGAGTGGTTGCCAGGGCTTAAGGAGGGGATGGATGAACGGAAGGTGGAAGTGGGTGTGGCTATCAAAGGGAACATGAAGTATCCTTGTGGTGATGGAAATATTTTCAACATCTATATTGACATTGACTGTATCCATGTCAATATCCAGGTTATAATGTACTACAGTTTTGCAAGATGTTACCACTGGAGGAAACTGCATAAAGGGTACATGTGATCTCTCTTTTTTTTGTTGTTATTTTTCGCTAAATTTTTTGTAGAGATGGGGTTTCACTAAGTTGCCCAGAGTGGTCTCAAACTTCTGAGCTCAAGTGAGCCACTTGCCTTGGCCTCCAAAGTGCTAGGATTACAGGCATGAGCCACTGTACCTGGCCCACACATGATCTCTCTCTCTCTCTCTCTCTCTCCCTCCCTCTCTCTTTTTAATGAGACAGAGTCTCGCTCTGTCACTCAGGCTGGAATGCAGTGGCGTGATCTTGGCTCACTGCAACCTCCACCTCCTGGGTTCAGACAATTCTTGTGCCTCAGCCTCCCAAGTAGCTGGCATTACAGGCGCATGCCACCACTCCTGGCCTCTTTGTATTATTTCTTACACTTGTATGTGAATCTGTAATTATCTCAAAATTACAATTTTAATTTTAAAAAAGGCATTTGTCTGTAGCCTGTCAATCATTCAGTATTTTTCCAGTCTCTATTTTGCAGAAAGAAGTACCCAAAGTGGTGAGAATGAAGATTTATCAATGTAGAGTGAATTTTAGTGCTCTTCAAATTTTGTTGTCTTCTATCGCTCAATTAGGGGTCTTGTCTACTGAGATTACTCTAGGGACTTCCAGTCTCATTTATTTAATAATATTATTATTTGTTAATGCTTCCACAGGGTAATTCACTGAGCTTCTAGGTTGCCCTAGCAACCTAAAACAAATGTCCCCATTTGGTACTCAGAAAAAATAGAAAAATGATTTGCTAAGGAGCCTCTGGATGCTGGGCCCACAGTTCTTTCCACTTCATACATAAGCTGGCATCTATATCATGTGTGGTCTGGAATCATTTTTATTTTTCCTGATCATTAAATTCCTCTCCATCTAGCACCTGTCTTAAGCCACTTTAGAAATCACCAGCTTTTGAGAGCAGGAAAAAACTCTTAAATCCAGCATCTCACCTGGACTTGGATCCCTCCCTTTAGGGCCAGCTTGGACAGAGCCAAGGTTTCTTTCAGGCCCACAAAGCAATTGCTGTAGGTTCAAGAACAATGAGATGATGGGGCTTTCTCCCAGCAGAGTTATGCAGTTTTCCTGTTTCTGGAAGTAAGCAGCTCTCAGCTGACCACATTTGGGATAGGCATGGAGTGAAAGTGAGGTGGCATTGCTTCTGGCATTGGGTGCTTCCTGTGCAAGAATCACCTCCTCAAATGCAGGGCTCAAACCAGGAACTGAAAGAGGCAGTCAGAAGATGAAGGCCTTGGGATCTTTCGTAGCATATTCCATGGCTGCTTTTTGGCGGTATCATCTGGCGGGGGGAATTCTTCTAATTTCATCATTATCATTTCATCACTTCTAACTTCATCATTTATCTATGATCTCATGGAACCCCAAGATTTTTTTATTTTTATTTATTTCTATTTTTTTTTTCAGAGTCTCACTCTCGCCCAGGCTGGAGTGCAGTGGCGCTATCTAGGCTTACTGCAACCTCCACCTCCAAACTCGAGTTCAAGCAATTCTTCTGCCTCAGCCTCCCAAGTAGCTGGGATTACAGACGCGTGCCACCATGCCTGGCTAATTTTTGTATTTTTAGTAGAGACGGGGTTTCATCATATTGCCCAGGCTGGTCTCGAACTCCTGACCTCAAACAATCCGCCTGCCTCAGCCTCCCAAGTGCTGGGATTACAGGTGTGAGCCACCACTCCTGGCCGGAACCCTGTGATTTTTAAACATCAACATGTTTTAAAACAACTATTTTGTGCTGGGCACTGTGTTGGGTGCTTTGCCACGTCCTAATTCATTGAATCTAAACTCCTGAATATTCAAAACCACTTCCTGAAGCATTTACATGATTCCCAGTGATATATAGGCAGAAGAATAGGGCTCAGCTCAGAGGGGAAGTGACTTGCTGAACGTCACACAATGAGTAATAGGTGGAGCCTGAATTTAAACCTAAACCGGCCAGAATCCAAAGTCCACGGTTTTTCTGTTCTGTCATGCTGCCACAGAGGCAGTTTAGTGTAATGACTAACTGGCTAAGGGTGCAGGCTCTGCATTTAGATGGATGTGGGTTCTACGTGGTTCAAGCCATGTGACTTGGACAAGGAATTTAACTTCTCTGAGTCTTCAGTTTCCTCACCTTTATAGGTGGGGATTAGGAGTCCCTTCTGGGCTGGGTGTGGTGGCTCATGCTTGTAATTTCAACACCTTTGGGAGGCCAGGAATTTGAGACTAGCCTGGGCAACAAAACAAGACCCCATCTGTACAAAAAGTAAAAATATTAGTGAGCAAAGTGGTGTGCACCTGCAGTTTTAGCTGCTTGGAAGGCTGAGGTGGAAGGATTGCTTGAGCCTGGTAGTTCGAGGCTGCAGTGAGCCAGATGGAGCCACTGCTCTCCAGCCTGGGCAAAAGAGTGAGACCCCGTCTCAAAAAGAAAAAAAAAAAAGAATTATTTCTGTGGCCATAGGATTGTTGAGCAATTTCAGAAGATTCTGCATGTAAAGCACTCAGATAGTGCCTAGCATGTCTAAGTGATGGATAAATGTTAGCAATAATCTGTTTCCAAAGAATAAGCTAGCTTACTCCGTGGTTTCCAGTTGGAACTCGGCCGGACGCGGTGGCTCACGCCTGTAATCCCAGCACTTTGGGAGGCCGAGGCGGGTGGATTACAAGGTCAGGAGATCGAGACCATCCTGGCTAACATGGTGAAACCCCGTCTCTACTAAAAATACAAAAAATAAGCCGGGCGTGGTGGCGGGTGCCTGTAGTCCCAGCTACTCGGGAGGCTGAGGCAGGAGAATGGCGTGAACCTGGGAGGCGGAGCTTGCAGTGAGCTGAGATCGCGCCACTGTACTCCAGCCTGGGCGACAGAGCAAGACTCCGTCTCAAAAAAAAAGGAACTCAAAGCACTTTACCAATCTTCATTTTCCCCAAAGCACTCAGAACTCACTGCTATCAATGCCCCTGTTTAATTTATTAACTAGTGGATTTTAAAAAAACAACTTTTATTGTTCAAAACTATTGAATTGTGGGCACAGTGGCTCATACCTGTAATCCCAACACTTTGGGAGGCCGAGGTGGGAGGATCTCTTGAGCTCAGGAGTTTGAGGCCAGCCTGGGCAACATAGCAGGACTTCATCTCTACAGAAAAATGTTAAGAATTTAGCTGGGCATGGTGGCGCGTGCCTGTAGTCTCAGCTACGTGGGAGGCTGAGGTGGGAGGATTACTTGAGCCCGGGAGGTCCATGCTGCAGTGAGCCGTGGACTGCCCCACTGCACTCCAGCCTGAGCGACAGAGCAAGACTGTGTCTCAAACAAACAAAAACAAGTGAATTGTTTTTGAGCCTCACCATATGGCAGGCACTGCAGTAGGCGTTTCATCACGTTTATCTCATTTAAATAAAGTGAGTGGCAAATCTTACTGCAGGAAGGGTGCTGAATTCCTCCTATTAGGAGTGGCTGCTTGAAGGCAAAATAAAACCCATCCTTTCATTTTGTTGAGTCCCAGCAGTAGCAGCAACAGGTACTGTCGAGCGTTTATCACAAGCCAGGAACTCTTCTAAGTATATTACTATTATCCTGGTGCAAAAGTAATCGCGGTTTTTGCCATTCCTTTTAATGGCAAAAAGTAATGCCACGATCATGGCTGCTAATATGATCTCATGGAACCCTGTGAGGGAGGGGCTGTTATCCCCATTTTACAGATAAAGAAACTGACCCTTAGAGAGGATAAATAATTTGCTGTGATAGCTGTCTTAGTTCAGGTCAAGCTTGATTTAAATAACACACGTTTCTGAGGCTGACGCTTAAAATAAAAAATCCCCCTGTGAATGGCAAAGATGCCTTGCTTTGGGAAGTAAATAGCCCTACCCCACAGTCGGTTCGGTTCCCCAGGCTCTGTTTCCTCAAATCTCGGTATTTCAGAGCTTGGTGTTTCAGAAAGGGACTTTAGCTATTAACAGGACAACTTCTTCATGCTGAAGATTAGGGGACTCAGGCCCAAAGAGGTAAGAGAACTGTCCCAGGTCACACAGTCTGACGGCCGCAGAGCTGAGGCTCAAATTCCCGTGCTCCGACTTTCAGGCCTGGGCCGCCGAGTTATTAAGGGACTCTGGCCAGGGAAAGGAAGGGAGGAACCCTGAAGTTTCCATTCCCTCACCTGCGAAATGGGGTCAATCACGGGCCCTCTTTGGGGTTACGTGGGTGTGGCCCAGCCCAGGGGCGGCCACTCTGCACTAGGAATGTGACAATGGACGGTTCAGGGAGGGCTGGAACGTCGGCAGTCCTCAAGGGAGGTGGTGGTAGGGTGTGACGGAGCCAGGGCGGAGCCTCGGGAGCCAGAGGCGTGGATTCGCGAATTCGGGGCGGGGCTTGGGGTTTAAACGTTGAGATGGGGTAGTGGGCGGGGCTTGAGATGCTAGGAATAGGGTTGCGGTCCTTGGGCGGGGCTTCTGGAAGACGGGGCGGGGCTTTGTGAGGCCGCTGGGCGAGTTCTGAAGCAGTGGGAGGGGAGCCGGGCTTAGGGAAGCAGGAGGCTGGTTTAAGGACTCGGATAGGCAGTGCGCGGGGCTCAGAGGAGCTAATGTTCCTGTATTGAGGGGCTCTGGGGGAATCTTTGAGGAGCCAGGGGACGTGGCCTTGCAGAGCCTAGCGGGTCAGTGGGCGGGGCTCTAAGAACCCCGCTCCGGGGTCTAAGGAGCAGTGGGCGTTGCTCGGAGGCGCCTGTGGGCGTGGCCCTCTACCACTCAGATGACTGGAGAGCGGGGCGTGCGCTTGGGCACCGCCTGCATCCCTCGGTGCGACCAGAGGGGGCGTAGCGAGGCGTGGAACGTGGGGTGGGAAGCGGGCTTCCCCTCCGGAAGTGGGCGTGGCGCACAGCGGCCCGGCAGCCCTGGTTGGGTCCCGCGCGGCGCGGGGGCGGGGCCTACGCGCGGTGGCGGGGGCGGTGGCGGCTGCCCGCGCCCCTCCCCCGCACGGCGCTCAGTGCCAGGCTGGAGGCGGCAGCGGTTGGAGGCTTCGCCCGGCTTTGCAGCGGGGACTTCGGCGGCGGCGCCTCAGGCACCTCGGCCCGGGTGAGCGGCTCGCGCCCGGCGGGGGCAGCCTGAGAGCGAGTCGGGCGGGCGGACCTGTCCTCTGAGCATGTGCCTGCGCCGCCTGACAGGAGCCGGCGGGGCGAGGGGCAGGGCTAGGTGGAGGGGACAGTGCTGGGTGGGCGCGCGGGGCGCGGGTTCACGGGCTGGGTTGCAAGGGGTTAGGGCCGGGGGCTGCTGTCGGGGGCTCGGGGAAAGGGAGTTGGGGACCGAACCAGGTGGCGTGGGGAGCGTGAAGCAGGGTCCCTGTGGGGAGGAGGCTTTCGAGGTCCGGAACGCTCCTGGCCGGGTGCGGAGCCGCGGGCCGAGGTGGGACGAGGCTGCCCAGGGAAGGCTTTTAGGGGTCAGGGATCGCCTGCTTGGGCGAGGTGCTGGGAGGGAAGGGCTGCTTCGGGCGAGGCGTAGAGCCCGGGGGCTCCAGGCCTGGGGACTGGGTTTGGGCCGCCCCAGGGAACGAGTGGGTGGGGGCGGGTAGGGGCCGGGCTCACGTGGGGCCGGGGCGAGCTGGGCCCTGCGTCGGGAGGGGCGAGGGCGGCCGCCTGGCCTGCGGGTTTCCTGGCTTTGGGTGCGAGACCAGCTCTGGGCCCTGCAGATCTCGGTTGGGGGTCAGGCGGGGCGGGGCAGAGCTGGAGCTGGAGTAATGTGGGTGGGGGCGGCTTGGGAAGAGGCTGAGCCCGGCCAAGGGAGCAGAGGGCTGGGACTGGCTGGGGGTTGGGAGGGGAGGAACGAAGCAGGAAGGCTGTCGGATCGGGGGCCCAGGGTGTCCGAGTGAACTGGGTGATTCAGAGGTGTGTTTCCCTAATAGCGGGGCAGCTGGCGAGGGACGCAGTAAAAAGGAGCGAGGTGCAGGTGGGGCCCCGCTGCGCCGAAATGACTGAGGATGAGGTCAGACGTGGAGGGTGGGAATGCAGAAACCGAGCTCTCCCGCCTGTCCCCACCGGCGCACGCTCCCCAGCTCTCCGTCTCTCAAATGATTTGAATGTGTTGGGGGAAGTGGCAGGCTGCGGTGAGAGCTGAGAAGAAAGGGGCTTCCTCTTGGAGGGAGGCGCTGGCCCTGGCATCCTTTTTTGGGAGTGTTCAAAGGATTTTGAACGCTGGAAAAGGAATCGTAGGCTTTACTGCATCACGATTTAGAAACACATCCTATATTTGGCCGTAATGTAGGCTGCCCTTGTTTTGTGGTGTCTAAAGTGCTTGCTCTACATGTTGCAAACGTGGGATTCAGAGTGCGAAGCAAATTGCAAGTTGTTCATTTCCCCCGGCATGGTAAGATACAAAGGCTTTTCCCTCCTATAAGACATTTGAAAAGAATTGAATGTAGTGCGCGTTTAATAAACTGGTCCTGGGTGGCGAATATATTTACTTTTGGAAATAGTTACCACAAAATATTAGGCCCTCTTACCGCAGCCTTTCTGCCTGGGATTACATTCTAAAACAGTACTTGTAGGGCTCTTAGTCACTCTATATAATAATGCATCTCATTGTCCTTATCTGGCAGAACGTTCTCCTGACACCAGGGCCTGCTGGAATAGACAGAAACATGATTAAGTATAAGCAGTTGCTTTGTACCGTCTGTTCAGTTGTGAAGGCAAATAGATACCTGTTTAATATTAATTCACTTTCTGCATTCCCTGTAAAACTGAAGAAATGTGCAAAATCTATTTTGGACTTGGTTCTATACATTTCAGATGATTTAAGGAAACTAGTATTTTTGGTTTGGAGGTATGTTTCACAGTCATAATGTTTGGCTATGAAGCATAATAGTAAACATTGGATCTGAGAAATCGCATAAATAAGTAGGGAAAAAAGTGAAATAAAACTGAGAATTGTGTTGTACCTTAGGTCTTGAAGTGCAGTGTTTCGTGGTGGAGGTTAGTCGTGTGTACTGAGGATTGGACAAAGATTTGGTATAAACGTCAGGAGCACACATTTTTGACAAATATAGAACCTATCTTGTCCATATTTATTTTGATTACTTGTGGAAGGTACATTAAAGCCTGATGAATTTTAATAGATACATACCGATGAAACATAACTGCACACAATATTGACTTTTTCATGATCCTTTGTTACTTTGCCTGCAGATTGTGCTAATCAGCATTTATACTTATTTATATATAGTTTAGGATTAGATTCGGTGTCAGTGAATAGCATTTTTTTAAACACCGTTGGATTTTTTGATAAAAGTTTTATGTTTAACTTATCTGTCACTTCTGGGATCCACTCCAACCATGAGGAAGAGAGTCACTCTAACGACTATGAGATGGAATGTTCAAAAGGATGAATATCAATTCTTAGTTATATAAGTGGGTATGTCGACGAGTCTCTTCTTTATGATGGCAAAATTTTAATTTCTCATATTTTGATTTGTCACAAACTGGTACTTTAGAAACATATTATTAATTGGTCTGTTTTACCTTTGACCTCTTTTCCAGGGGTGGGGCAATAATAAATTTGAGAGCTACTTGCATTTTCAAGGTACAAATCCATGTGATAAAACCTCTTAAGCTTGTTTTCCATTTATGACTTCTCTGTGTTACTGTCTCCTTGAATTATGAAAACTCTTTTCTGACACTTGTATGTCTTTTTAAACTTAAGATACCTTTTCTGTATTAAAACAGAATTCTTCATGAATATTTCAGTATGACCTAGTACCTAGAATGTTAAGTAATAGAATCTCTCTGGGTTTTCTTTGCCCTAGTTCAGATCCTTTAAAGTGAGTGAACAAGATTCTGTACTCCTTTCTGAGTACTTTGTATTTCTAGAGTGCAGAATGGAACTTTTTTTGTTTTATAACAGCTTCATTGAGACATACTGTACAGTTCACCCGTTTAAAGTGTACAGTTCTGTGGTTTTTGGTATATTCACAGAGTTGTGCAGCTGTCACCACAGTCAATTTTAGAACATTTTCATCCCCCCCAAAAAGAAACCCCATACCCCTTAGAAGTCCTCCCGTTTCATGTAAATGGAATCATACACTATGTGGTCTTTTGTGTCTTGCCCTTATTTAGCATATTTTCAAGGTTTATATGTGTGGTAGTATTGTATAGTACTTCATTTTTTTTTTTTAATGGTCAAATAATATTCCATTGTTTGGATATGCCGTATTTTGTTTATCCATTCATCAGTTGATGAACATTTGGGTGTTTTTCCTTTTTGGCTATTATGAATAATGCTGTGAACATACGTTTTCATTTCTCCTGAGTATTTACCTAGGAATGTAATCGATGGGTTGTATGGTAACTCTATATTTAACTATTGGAGGAATGGCCAGACTTCTCCAAAGCAGCTGCACCATTTTACGGTATTCACCAAGAGTATATGAAGGTTCTAAATTCTCCACATTCTTGCCAACACTTGTTACTCTCTGACTTTTTGATTCTAGTCATCTGTGTTTCCCTAATGGCTAATGATGTTGAGCATCTTTTCATGTGGTTGGTGAACATTTGTATGTGTAATCTTTGGAGAAATGTCCATTCAAATGCTCTGCCCGTTTTTTAATGGGTTGTCTTTTTATTGGTGTTATAAAAGTTGTTCATGTATTCTAGATTCAAGTGCCTTATCAGCTGTATGATTTGCAAAAATTTTCTTGGATTCTGACATGTCCTTTCATTTTCTTGATGGTGCCCCTTTTTAGGAACAAAGATTTTAAATTTTGATGATTTCCAATTTATGAATAGTGGGGTCTTACTAGTTAGAAATTAGACCTTAAACCACACCCTCCTCAATATTTTGGTTATATAAGTTGAAACCCAAATGTGAGAGGACTGGGGAAAGGTTTGAATTAATATATTTTAAGGTATGCTATAGATGAAAAAGGATTCATCAGGGAACATGCCATTCACCTGTTCAAATCCTCTGGTGACCTCACCTTTACCCACAAAATAAAGTTCAGACTCCTTAATGAGGTGTGGAGTAAGGTGGGCTCTGATTTCAGCCTGCTTTATTTCTCACTATTCCCCTTCCAATGTCTTCATCTCTAGTGCCACTCCCTGAAACATCCCAGCTTTCAAATCTTGTGATGAATTTATTACTTCATCGCCTTTCTACTTCTAGAATCCCACTTGTCCTTTGGGACATGGGTCATGAGGTTTTTCCTCCATGAAAACTTCCTCATCTCACAGGCAGACATTTGTCCCTGCCCTCATGTATTGTACATTCATCAGGACTGTTTGCTACAAAGAACTGGACCTGAATTTGAGCTAATAGTCTGAAAGGTGCCTTTCCATACAAGGCAGAATGCAATAGAGCAATTCACATGGAAGGCAGACTGAGATTCTCTTGTTCATGGCTTGGTCATTAGTGCCTACTGGATATTCGCTGAATGAATGATTGTTTATTGAAGTTAACTGGAAAGATCCTGAGGTCAGTGGGTTTCTCTGATTATCATGAATGTCTTTATTGCCTATGTTAAAATAACATGAATGGGGTAACTCCCTTTTGCCCTTCTGGCATCCAAGTCCAGCTCTTACCAAAAAGTGCTCAAATGTAAAACTGAGTGTTTAAAACATTTCCCCAATGGCAGAACATTCTCGTCCAGGTTCTTTCCCCCGATGAACAGTAATGACTGGCGCACAGTCTCCTCAGTAGGGTAGATGGCCAGCGAACACGATTTAGTCACACCAAATGCATACAGGCCGACCCTGATAGTATTTGGTCAGTTAGTACTGGAACTACCCCTGTCACACTCATGAGAATGGTTGTAAATTGGATTTTAAGGGTGTGTACTTTCTTTTCATTCTTTTTTTTTTTTTTTAATGTTTTGTAGAGATGGGGTCTCACTATGTTGTATAGGCTGGTCTTGAACTCCTGGGCTCAAGCAAGTCTCCTACCTTAGCCTCCGAAAGTGCTAGGATTATAGGCGTGATGCACCATGCCCAGCCTCTTCATTCTTTTGTTCATGCTCTCCTCTCTTGGGGTGTCTGACTCAAATTAGTATTCTTTAGTTATATTTTGTGTTCTTATGTTCATTTTTTTTTTTTTTGAGACAGAGTCTCACTCTGTCGCCCAGGCTAGAGTGCTGGAGTGCAGTGGCACGATCTCAGCTCACTGCAAGCTCTGCCTCCCAGGTTCACGCCGTTCTCCCGCCTCAGCCTCCCAAGTAGCTGGGACTACAGGCGCCCGCCACTACACCCGGCTAATTTTTTGGTATTTTTTAGTAGAGATGGGATTTCACTGTGTTAGCCAGGATGATCTCGATCTCCTGACCTCATAATCCGCCCGCCTCGGCCTCCCAGATTATGTTTATTTTTAAAATACTTTAATTAAAAATATTTCATGCCGGGCGTGGTGGCTCACACCTGTAATCCCAGCACTTTGGGAAGCTGAGGCGGGCAGATCACGAGGTCAGGGGTTTGAGACCAGCCTGGCCAACACGGCCAACCTGTCTCTGCTAAAAATACAAAAATTAGCCGGGTGTGGTGGCACGCGCCTGTAGTCCCAGCTACTCAGGAGGCTGAAGCAGGGGAATTGCTTGAAACCTGGGAGGCAGAGGCTGCAGGGAGCCTAGACTGCGCCATCACACTCCAGCCTGGGCGACAGAGTTGCACTCCAGCCTGGGCGGCAGAGAAAGAATCCGTCTCAAAAAAATAAATAAATAAATAAATAAATTCACTTAGCACCTTTCTGAGAATTAGGAGAAACCAGTTGGCCATTTCGGGATACCTTTTCTTTGTGTGTTCGTTAAAGCTTGGATTGTGGCAAGGTAGTACAGAAGAGAAAGAAAAATGTCAACTTTTTTGTCTAGTTAGGGACAGTGAGCTATGGGTACCTTCTGTAGTTCTCGTTCTAAGAGAGTTTTGTATTTAGGGGAACTGAGGCCGTGAGGGTGCAGGCCTTTAGGGCCAGATAGAGCTGGGCTTCACTCTTGGCTCCGCTTCTTGCTAGCTGTGACTTTGCCAGCTCCCTCACCTCCCTGAGCTTCACTTTCCTCCTCTGTAGTGTGGAGATGCAAAAGGCTTACCTTGCAGGGTCATTGGCAAGATTAAGCAAGGAAAATTATATGAAGTGCCTAATACAGAGTAGGTACTGAATACATTCCTGTTCCCTCTCTTCTCTCTTAAATGTCTGTTAATGAATGGAACTGCAGAGAAGCAAATAGAGTAAGTTTAATACATTTTACATCTGACATTAAGCTATTAAGGGTATGGATTCCTACTCCCACCTGAGGATTTTAGACTTTGAATCAAAGTTGAGTCACTGAAGAGGGCAAAAAATGTCTAATTTTAGGATGGGAAGGCGGTCTTAAAAACACCTCCAGTGTTTTTGCATCTGTCTGAATTGGAAATGTCTATTCAGACAGTCTTCTCTATTCAGGTCTGTGTATTCAGTCTCTCTGTCTGTGTGTCTGTCTGTCCATTTTAAGGAAAGTTCCTGGCAAAAGATGGATTTTTTTAGGATTTGAAGGAGATTGCACTGCAGTGCTTGAGATAACTCTTCTGGTTACAGTGTGATAAAGTGTAACATCCTGTGTGGGAAAAGAGCCTCTATAGTTTTATGGTATGTTAAATTAGGCCTGTCATTTGGATCTTACATTAATAACAAAAATACAGTTCCTCCCGTTTGCTGCAGTAATGAGTAATTAATATAATGCAAAGGTCAGAGTGAGAGAGACTATAAATGGGAGTAGGAAGGCCTATACATTGTATGTGGAAGGCAGTTATATTTTTTCCCCTTTGGTCAGGCAATGATCTACATTTCTTCTTAAAAATTTATGAATAATGGATTATATTTGGCACCAGTATCTCACCATCTTTTAAAGGATATATTATTTTGGGAGATTTGGGAGATTATTGCTCAGGTACAGAGGTCCTCATTCTTGACTGCCTTGTGATGATCATCTGTGGACCTATATGAATCCAGCTGCCTGGGTGTGAGTTCCCTGGTGACTCTGAATCACAGCCAGAACAGGAAGCACTGTGGGCTGGTCTATTCCTCATTTTACAGATGAGGAGACTTTGGTGGCAGGAGCTTGACAGATTTACCCAAGATCAGGAACTTAACTGCCCCTTCCTTTGTGTGGTATGAATTAATTTTTATAGTTAGTTGTGTGAATTTATAGTATAGTGTGGATTTTTTATTTAACAATGTGAACCTGACATGGCTTTCCCTTTGTAGTCTTTGACCCAGTGCAGCAGTTCCATTTGCTTAGCCTTTCGTCATGCTCTTTTGCCAGATCTGCAAACCAAGCCTATTCACGGAGTTTTCTTCAGTTAATCACCACAGTTGGTAGCATGTACCTATGTTGTTGTTGTTGTTGCTTTTTCCCACATATTCAGGTTGTGCATGTATTAAACTGTGAAGTTTGGTCCAGGTTTTTAGGAGGATTTTTAGATGCATTTTTAGGAAACTTGAAAATACATGATATCTCTTGGATAAACCTTTGGTAAACTTGATTTCTATTTTTAATGTAAAGCTCCTTGACAGTATTTTATTGATCCTTTTAAATTTCCTCAGTCTTATAATCTGAGCACTAGTAAGCAGTGGTTTTAAAGATTTGTCTTGTATTTGGAAGACCGATTATTATTGCAAAGGTGCCCTTGCATTGCATCTTGCCAGAAAAATTGGCATTAGTAGGCCGTCTGTATTTGAAAACACCAAGTTTAGACAGGAACAACACAGGCCCAGTACTGAACTATTAATATATAGATTGTAACAGACATAATGAAAACCACTTAGGATTAGCAAAGGTTGATTATTGTTTCACAATGTGGTTGTTCTGTCTTTGGGAAACCAAGACAGACTGCAAGTCTGGTCACATGGTGGTTTGGTGTAAGAGACTTTCTTGCTCCATTGTGGAACTGGGTGTGGGTCCCCATGTCTCAACAACTGCTGAGGCCTTCATTCTGGATGAACAAAGCTGTAGATTTTTCATGAGAGACCATAGTAGACACACATGGGAAAGGAAGTGTTAGGAGAGTGAAGCCGTCAGGCTGTATTTTCTACTTTTGATATCATAGGGGTGCATGACAAAATTCACAAGCATCCCTTCCTTATGACAAATGTTTAATCACCATTATTTGCTTACTTCACAGGAAAGATACTTAAATTCCTTTTCGTAATGGTCAAGCATTCTTTCCTAGTTAAAGATTCTAATTCCTTTCATTCTTAGGAACTTAAAGAATTGACTGATTTATTAACATAAAAACTCAAATGTGGCTGGAGTGGGGACTGAGGAACACACGTGAAAGTGCGCTGTCATCTCTGTTAAGCAGAGGGATTTATTAGGAAACTAGTCACTTTGGAAGCTAGATGGTGAATTAATTTTGTGGTTAGTAGTATCTTTAGCTTAACAATGTCATCCTAGTTTTTCTTGGCAAGCAAGAGAGAGGCTGGAGCCAATGAGGGCTGGCCACAGTTCTTTGGGGGTGATATTTAATAAGATGCACGTTGTCTGTTTTAGAAATAGAGTAACTGTCCTTTAGGCTCTCTCTTCTGTGGGCCACTGTTGCTTTACAGTGCTACTGTAGGAAAAGATAAGTTGGAAGTCTTCTTTTTTCTCCCTAAGACTGCTAGTTTGATCTTTTTATGCATTATGACAGTGTCTTGAGTGCAGTGGACTGAATTACTTTTATCAAGTAGAACAAATAACATATCATACCTTCAAAGGATGGTTATGAACTGTGTGTTTCTCTGAAAGTGAATGAGCAAGAGCCCAGATGAAATTTCTGTTTTGGAGGCAGGCAGTGTGTACATTTGGTCCCCAACTCAAGACTGGGTTGTGTTCCAGAGTCTAACTCAGTTATTTGGAACTCAGATCTACTAGTAGTAATTTCTATCTATTGTGTTGATTCAGCATTGTAAGTGGTGGGTACGTTCCCAGCCTAGACTGAAGGAATCTGTTTAATTCACAGCAGTTTTTGAAATTGTTTATGGTGATAGTGGAATTCTGGATCTTGGGAGCTGGTAGTCATGTGAAAGAGAAGTAAGGACTCATGCCCCATGCCCCAGGAGCCTCCCTGTGCAGGCTGTGTGGCGTCCAGGGGTCTCATGCCACTGCAGCCCTCCAGGTCTGTGCTGGCCCTCCTTGTTCTTCATCCTCCTTCATCTCTCTCTTAATTTGAAGCTTCTACTTCCCTGGTTAAGCTCACTTTCTTTAAATCATGGTAGCAAAGCACATGGTTCAAATTCATTTCCCTGCTAGACTACCGCTGTTATTCAGGGTTGGGATGACTACAGGCTTTATTCATGTCATTTCACTCATGTTCTTTAACCCTTTTAGAGGTGTACAATGTTAATATTTTTAAAGAGGAGGTTCCTTACTGATAAACAGATTGTCTCTTTGAAATGTTTGCATTCAGTCATTACAGCAAGGTTTCAAGGGGAAAGTTGAGCAGAGGCATGTGAAGTCAGGCAGACCCCACGTAAGGAGGCTAGTCCTGATACCTGGAATCAGGAAGAAACCATGCCTGCTTTAGAAAGGTTCTTCCTGTCACTCCAAAACAGTGACTCTGCTAAATTTTTTTCAAAATACTTTCTGATCTTTTTTTTTTCTTTTCCATTTGGGAACTTCACAGCTTGAAAGGGTCTTAGGTTTTGGCGAAGTGGCTTGGTTTCTGTGACCTTTGGAAAGTTGATCAGGGCATGGTAGTGATTGTAAATTGGGGCATCTTATAATGGCCAGAGCTGGGCACTCGTCCTGTCTATTTTTCTATTCTTTTATAAACTTATCAAAAAGTCACTTTTTTCATCAAACAGTGGGAAATTATTGACCTCTCCATTCTGTTAGTGCCTCTGTGAAGGGTTTGAACTACTGGTTTCAAAGAACTCTTTTCATTCAAACATTTTATGATGCAAAATATATTAGGGACTTGATTTTTCTGGTATCATTTAAAAAATTCGTATTCACAAAGTCTTATGGCAAGCTTAATGTTTTGATTTACTTTTAAATTATGTAAAAGTTTAAAAAATACATTACAAGCCTCCTCCAGCCCTCAAGCACATGACTCTTTGATGGTGAATTCTGCAGTATAGACTGTGAGCTCTGTGGGAATTCAGGAGACAGGCGTTGGAGAGTCAGTGTTTGTGGGACACTGGGAGTGAGATCCTGCCTGAGGGTGTGCCTAATAGTACTGGGCTGACTCAGAACTGGTGTAATTAGGGAAGAGTAGTGTAAGATGGGTAGATGAGATGGCCCTGATTATGGAAAGTGATGATAATAGGTTATGCATTTATACAATATGTTAGAGTAAAATGTAAATATAGTTTGGTTATGGAGTTATAAAGGTAGGTGAAAGTGTAATTTGTGGGTGTCACTAGTGTTAGTGATTTCTATGCTAATACTAATTACATCTGGGATTAAATGACTAGAGATTGAGTACAGAATTATTTTACAGTTTGTGAAAGTGAACACCTTATAATACTGCTATATTCCATGTTCCTTAAAGGTAGAGGATATCTTACATTTTTTGGTGCCTCCATTTCCTAGCATATTGCCTGGTGCATAGTAGCTGTTCAATAAATGTTAATTGAGTAATTGAATTTCAACTTTGCATGATACACTTGTGATATTGTCAGTCTTTCCATTTTCCTAGAAGATGAAAGGAATAAAGATGTTTTCTATGGCCTAGGACTACTAATTGTAAATATTTGCCGGGTGCGGTGGCTCATGCCTGTAATCCCAGCACTTTAGGAGGCTGAGGCGGGTGGATCACGAGGTCAGGATGTCGAGACCATCCTGGCTAACATGGTGAAACCCCATCTCTACTAAAAATACAAAAAATTAGCCGGGCGTGGTGGCGGGCGCCTGTAGTCCCAGCTACTCAGGAGGCTGAGGGCAGGAAAATGGCATGAACTCGGAGACAGAGCTTGCAGTGAACTGAGATCGCACCACTGCACTCCAGCCTGGGCAACAAAGAGAGACTCCATCTCAAATAAAAAAAAAAAATTCTTATTATGTTATTATAAACTAACTTCGTAATTTTTATTGTAAATAAATATGTTAGCAAGATGTTTATATGTGTAAATTTACACACACAGATATACATACACATTCCTTTATTGAAACATGCTTTATTTGTAAAGCAAATTTTGGGGTTTTGATTATTTAAAGCATATGTTCTGATAAAAAGCAGGATAACACAACATTTTGGTACTCATCACAAATTAACTTAATTGATTTCTTGAATAAATTAAAACTATTGGCAGCATGGGTTTCTTATGGCTGTATTTTATAGCTCTGGTTAGCAAGTTTGTGTGTGCGTGTGTGTGTGTCTGTATGAGTGTTTGAGACAGGGTCTTGCTCTGTCACCCAGGCTGGAGTGCAGTGGTGTGATTGAGGCTCAATGCAGCGTCGCCCTCCCAGGCTCAAGTGATCCTCCCACCTCAGCCTCTCGAGTAGCTGGGATTACAGGCATACGCCACTATGCCTGGCTAATGTTTTAATATTTTTGTAGAGACGGGGTCTCACTGTGTTGCTCAGGCTGGTTTCCAACTCTTGGGCTCAAGTGATCCTCTCGCCTCAGCCTCCCAAAGTGCTGGGATTATAGGCGTGAGCCACTGTGCCTGGCCTGGTTAGCAAGTTTGACTTTAGAGTCAATGAAGTAACATCCCAATGGAAGCATGCTTTCATTTAACAATGAAGATAGATATGGCAAGAACCATAATTTCTGTCAAGGGGATTTAAAGTTAAGGTAGCCATTGAAAAAGCTGTTTTCCTTCACTATCTTTCTCTTTTTGAGTTTCTCATCCTTTAATGCGCTATTGTCATTAAATAGCCTTATGTTCTCCCTGAAGGAGGAGGTGAAGGTGGAGGTTTGTCTGCAGTGGACCTCTAGGTGTGCCCTGCCCAGCACCAGAGAAATCATAGGGCAGGCCTTAGGGCATTTGAGTGACTCCTGGAGCCCCAAGGATTTAATGTATTTGAGAATTCGTTTGACTTGAGAATTTGACAAGGACCGAGTAAGTTAAGATAGGGTGAATTGTGCACCACTACAACTGTTAAAATGATCTAATCGCTTAGGAGTTCATTTATACATACTAAAGTCTGAAAAACTGTAGACTTTGGTTTATATTGTATTCACGATAAGTGGTCACAAAAAATGAATTATTTTGTAATTGCATTTGTGTGTATACGTGTGTGTGTTATTTCTGGTAGTTTTTTGAGGGTACCATAAACCATAAATGTAGTTGTTTAAAAAAGTATTAGGGATAGGAAGCCCCTGGATCTTTTTGCTGGCCTTCTACTTAAAATTATTTGTCCTACTTTCATAAGGAATAGATAATTTCTCTTTAGTTACTATTGTGATGTCCAATTAATTTAGCATAGAGAATTAAAGATTATAATTTTCAAGTCTTGATACAGTTTGGAAGGAAAATGGATTTGGGAGAGTTAGGGCTACAGTTTTACCAGCTACAGCTGATAAAAGCTTTTTGTAGTAGAGTATTTGCTCTTAGAATATTTAGCCCAAATGTTTCCTTCTGAAAGTGGGCCGTGTTTATTTGTCTTCACTTCCCTAGAGATATTTTCATTTTATTGGTGAAATTGAATGTGTGCTGTTTTCTTCCTGAAGAGCCTGAGACCTTCTTCTAAAGGTATTGAATGGTGGTAAAGTATTTGGTAGTAACTACATTATCTCCAGTGAGTTAAATTCTTAGTTTCTTGTACTCTATTATAGATACTGATATTGAGTGTTTTGTTTTGTTTTTTCCTTCGCTTTAGAAGATGCATATGCTGATAAGGAAATATTTTTAATTTTACCAAAAGGGATCAGGCAGACAAAATTATTTTTCCTAAGGTGCAGTAAGATTGTAAGCGCTATACTTTCCTATTTCTATAGGATGTCTGAAAATTCCAGAAACATAGGGAGATTTTTATTTTAAACAGTGTTAGTTTTCATTTTCTTTTCTTTTCTTTCTTTCTTTTTGTTTTTGAGGTGGAGTCTTGCTCTGTTGCCCAGGCTGGAGTACAGTGGCATGATCTCTGCTCACTGCAACCTCTGCCTCCCGGGTTCAAGTGATTCTCCTGCCTCAGCCTCCTGAGTAGCTGGGATTACAGGCATGTGCCACCACACCCCACTAATTTTTGTATTTTTTTTTTTTTTTCGAGACGGAGTCTCACTCTTGTCGCCCAGGCTGGAGTGCAGTAGTGCGATTTCAGCTCACTGCAAGCTCCGCCTCCCAGGTTCATGCCTCCTGGGTTCATGCCATTCTCCTGCCTCAGCCTCCCGAGTAGCTGGGACTACAGGCACCCACTGCCACGCCTGGCTAATTTTTTATATTTTTAGTAGAGATGGGGTTTTAACGTGTTAGCCAGGGTGGTCTCAATCTCCTGACCTTGTGATCTGCCCGCCTTGGCCTCCCAAAGTACTGGGATTACAGGCGTGAGCCACCAGGCCTGACCTAATTTTTGTATTTTTAATAGAGATGGGGTTTCACAATATTGGCCAGACTGGTCTTGAACTCCTTACCTCAGGTGATCCACCCGCCTTGGCCTCCCAAAGTGCTGGGATTACAGGTGTGAGCCATTGTGCCCGGCCTAGTTTTCATTTTCAAATAGCATGCTCAATACGTTTTTCTTCAAGCTCCAGACACTTTTGCGAGCAAAAGTACATAATTTTAAAGCCATGGATCCAATTATTAATGTGGAAAGGTAATTATGTTTTAAAAAATAAATTTTAAAGTATTTTTCCCATGGTTTTACTCTTTTCAGATACCTTACTTGTCAACAGAAGGCTCTTTGAAGCTACTACTAAGAGGTAGTAAGTAAGTCTCCACACCAAAGAGAAGGTGGGAAGGCACCCCCAACCATCTGGTTGCATGAGTCAAATTAGGCATCACTGTTGATGCACCCTTCATATCTAAAACAGTTTTAAATTCAGTTGACTTCAAGTCTTTTGGCTCCATCATCTCTGTTTCTACTGGGACTGTGACTTGTGGCCTGGACAACAAGTGCCGTGACTTCCTAACTAGCTTCCCTGAATCCTTTCAGATGCTCCCACGTGCAGATCCATTCTCCAGCTTCATTCAGCGTGAGCTTTTAAAATGCAAATCTAATTATGTCACATACTCATACTTAAAAAATTTCCTATGGCTCCCAAGACTGCAAGTACAGATAAAATCCTTAACATGGCCTAGAAAGCCCTCTGTGATCCGGGTTCTGCTGACCTCGCAGCCTCTTCTACCCTTGCTCTCTGGGCTCCAGCCTCTGTGGGCTAAGTAGTCCAGATTCTGACAAGTGCTTGCTTTTGATACAGACTTTTGATATTTTGTTGTTCCTCCCAGCTGGGACTCACTTTTCTTCTCTTATTGCCCAGTTGACTTCTCATTCTTTGATTTCAGCTTAAGTGTCGCTTCTCTGACTGCTTCTGTTCCCCGATTATTGACTCAGTTACCTTGTGTTCTTCTGCATTCCAGCACTTGCCACAGCGGCATGCTAATGTTTGCACGAATATCTGATTGTGTTGTGTCTCCTGCAGTGGACTGTAAGCTCCATGAGAGCAGGGGCCAGGTCTGCTTGCTCACAGTTGTGTCTCTCATGTCTAGCATGGTGCTAGGCGCATGGTCAAAGCCGAGTGAATAGTTGTTGAACAAAAGAATGACTGGGATTAAGGACCTATTCAACATTCATAGTTGAGTATATATGTAATACGTATAACCCTGTGGATGTTAGTAAGTAATGTGGTTTGCAGTGAGTTGTGTCTGTTTTACTGGGGGGGATGTGGACTGTATCCCAGTGAAAGAAGGATTTCCTGTAGACTCTGATAGGACCCTAGAAATCATTTATTTTAGTTCTTCCATTTTATAGATGAAGAAACAAACAACCAGAGGACCAAAATGATCTAGCTGGGTAGGTAATTATGTCAAGATAAATTTGTGTCTGACATCCAAGCCAGAGATTTTCCTACTCTTCCTTAATGTTCCTTTGAAACACTGTCAGGAGTACATGTTCATTTAATCCATTTAATCTCCGCTTGCCCAAGGTATGGGTTAAAAAGGGAAGGCTGAAATTCTTCAGGTGAAGGTGATTATTTTGTTTTTTGACACTGCTAGTTTTGCCTGTGACTAGCCTTATGAAGTTATTAATAAAAATATCCCCCATCCCTTTTTAAGATATGAGCATCCAGTAATTTCATTTCCTGGTATAACAGTATTGCCAAATAATTAATAAAATTTTATTGTCTACTCCATATGACTAAGTAGTGAAAAACAGACTTAACAAGTTTGAACTGTCATACACAGTGTGTTTTTTACCAGTTGTTGATAAGAAAAGTAGGTCATCAATATAGAAAGAATGTTTAGAAACATATTCAAGGATTTTTTTTTTTTTTTTTTTTTTTTTTTTTTTGCGACAGAGTCTCGTTCTATTGCCAAGCTGGAGTGCAGTGGCGATCTTGGCTCACTGCAACCTCCGACTTCCGGGTTCAAGCGATTCTCCTGCCTCAGCCTCCCGAGTAGCTGGGATTACAGGCGCGTGCCACCACGCCTGGCCAATTTTTGCATTTTTAGTAGAGACGGGGTTTCACCGTGTTAGCCAGGATGGTCTCATTTCCTGACCTTGTGATCCACCCGCCTCGGCCTCCCAAAGTGCTGGGATTACAGGTGTGAGCCACCCCGCCCGGCCTCAAGGATTAATTTTTAAGTGAGATTGCTAGGTCACTCATGTCTATAAAAGTTTTGCGGTTGGTGTGAGACCTCTTGGGATTAATTTGGCTCTTTGAGTTGTGTTCTGCTCTTTGAAGAGAGACACAGAATTAAGCTTCTGAGTCTGGTCTCCTGTGGTGCACTTTAGGGAGATGGCTGCTGCCAGTGTTGTGAGTATGCGGGGGGGAGGGGGGGAGGGAGGAGGCGGGTCAGGTAGCGCCTGCCTTTGTCTTCCCAAGGGACGTTTCTTCAGCAATGCTTTTTCAAAGCTCCAGGGACCAAAAGAGGTGGTTGTGTTTATAAAGATGCTGGTGATAAGCAGAAAATTGGGAGATGTGGAGGGTTGTAAACATGTCATCCTTGCACATTATCTCTGTAATAGAAATATATATTTCTGTCATTGAAGAGCTAGAGATGATTTCGAAGTCCTTATATATTCTCACATTTTAGTAACTGCAAAATTTCTGTAGTGTCATTTCTATTATATTTTAAGTGAGTTACAGGCCTCATTATGGCATCTTTTAGTTCATAAAAGGGTCTCTCTTTAATAAGATGTGAGGGAATTACAGTTTTGTTTTGTTTTGTTTTGTTTTTTTAAGAGACACAGTTTCGCTTTGTCTTTTGGTATCAAGTTCAGTGGTGCAATAATAGCTCAGTGCAGCCTCAGACTCCTGGGCTCAAGGGATCTTCCTGCTTCAGCCTCCCAAAGTGCTGGGATTACTGGTATGAACCACCACACCCAGCCCAGTTTTAGGAATTTTATCTTTTGTCTTCAGGTTCATTATGTGTTACTGTTTTGCTGCTCATTTTACTTCTTGTCAGACTTGATTTTCGGCAGTCATTTTCATAGCGTCACATTACGCTCTGCAATGCGCTCACTGCTTTCTGCTTCACATTGCCAGTGAGTGCTTAGGTTTGACTTTAGGTGGTCCCCAACCAAGTCTCTTTGTAAGAAGTTCCTAAAATGAGTATAGATTATAAAATGTAAATATACGAGTGCTCTTCTTTGAAAACTTTAAAAAGTATGATACCTCTTTATTATACCTCACCTTTTATTTTTATTTTTATTTTTTTTGGGTATCACTGTGTCCCCCAGGCTGGAGTGCAGTGTCGTGATCTTGGCTTACTGCAACCTCTGCCTCCTGGGCTCAAGCAATCCTCCTGCCCTCAGCCTCCTGAGTAGCTGGGACCACAGGCATGCGCCATCATGCCCGGCTAATTTTTTGTATTTTTGGTAGAGATGGAGTTTTGCCATGTTGCCCAGGCTGGTCTCCAACTCCTGAGCTCAGCCTCCCAAAGTGCTGGGAATACAGGTGTGAACCACCGCACCTGTAATGTCTCACCTTTTAGATACTATCCTTGGGGTGTGTGTGTGTGTTTCTAGTGTTTTATGCATGCTCTTTCAGGTTGTTCCTCTTTTTTTTTTTTTTTTTTGAGACTGACTCTCGCTCTGTTGCCAGGCTGCAGGCTGGAGGAGTGCAGTGGCGCGATCTTGGCTCACTGCAACATCTGCCTCCCGGGTTCAAGCAATTCTCCTGCCTCAGCCTCCCGAGTAGCTGGGACTACAGTTGTGCGCCACCACGCCCTGCTAATTTTTGTATTTTTAGTAGAGATGGGGTTTCACTATGTTGGCCAGGATGGTTTCAATCCCTTGACTTCGTGATCCGCCCACCTCGGCCTCCCAAAGTGCTGGGATTATAGGTGTGAGCCACTGTGCCCGGCCCAGGTTGTTCTTTTCTTGGACAACTGAGCACATAGTCCTCTGGCTAAGCTAAGGATTTTCAGTGAGAAGTAAGATTTGCTTCCTTGGTCATAACAGATACCCTCTTGTTTGTCTCAGTACATTTGAATGCCTACAGCTGGTTTCTGTATTTTGATTTTTCCATTTTTACTCATATTTATAAAGTGTAGGCAAAGTGCAGTTTCACATTTAAAGTGTTACACAAACTGGCCAACTGGACTGGGGGCTGTCAAAGCAGCACCCACAGGACAGAGCTCTAAGTGCCATTGTTGGCTGATGTGGAGAAACTGAATTGTATATATGATTCGGGATTGATTGTTGGAAAAGTATGACAGTTCATGGGCTGAAAAGTTGGAACTGCTCCGTACTTTGTAGTTCAAGGTCACTGCATCTTTCTCAGAAGTTCTTTATCTTTGGAGGAGTTATACGTCTTCAGGCTGAAACGTGACGGGCCTGGAATTGATGAGCTTTGGAACTCTCTCCAGGCCTAGCTCTGTGAGGCCCGAGCCTGGAGGCTTCTTGGTAGATCTTATTTGCATTTTCTCTTTATTCTTAGAAACTTTAAAAACTAAATGATATTGAGTTATTGAATTGAAACAAAATGCATTTTTACTGGTATGCCTCATTCTTGGCATCTTACCTGTTACCTGGATTAATAATGATGGGATGAAACTATTTGGAAGGCTATGTAATACATGTGAATTTTTTTCCCTTAATTTTTACCATTCCTGGTGTTATAATCAATTGAACCAACATCAAGGCTATTCATACTTGCAGTCAGTCGGCCATGCTAAGTGGTCAATAGTTTTTCTAGAAAAAACATTTTTTTCAACAAGTCCATATCAGCAGTGGAATACAAATCTCTTTCAGCCAAAACTGCTGTGTATGAGGAGATCTGTTGTGTATCTGACATTTTGCTGTGCTTTATAGCAAATGTTGCATGTGGTCTTTTTTCTTCCTCTTTTAAAAACAGCTTCTATTAAAATAGGTAAGGCATGTTTTTTTTTCTTGGAATGTCTCATGTATGAATCTGTTAAAGAGTTGCATGCAGTAGAAATATGCAATTCGTTAGGTAAATTCTTTCTTTGAGTGTCACTGCTGGATTTAATTTAGAAAATTTGAAAAAGCTCAGCTATCTCATATTCGGAAATGATGATTTTTTTTTTTTTTTTTTTTTAAAGAGACATGATCTTGCTAGAGTGCAGTGGCATGATCATAGCATACTGCAGCCTCAAACTCCTGGGCTCAAGCAGTCTTCCTGCATCAGCCTTCTTAGAGACAGTGCCTCATTATGTTATCCAGGCTGGTCTTGAACCCCTGGCCTTAAGCTATCTTCCCACCTCAGCCTCCCAAAATGCTGAGATTGCAGGCGTGAGCCAACGTGCCCGGCCAAATTTTTATATTTAATCAGAGTACCTCCTATATTTGCTTTGGGTGTCTGCTCTCTCGTGAATGTGTATTCTATGTAGGCTTATATATTATTACATTTCCCACTTCCTTTTTTTTTTTTTTTTTTTTTTGAGACAGTTTCGCTTGTTGTTCAGGCTGGGGTGTAGTGGCACAATCCTGGCTCACTGCAACCTCCACCTCCTGGGTTCAAGCAATTCTCGTGCCTCAGCCTCCTGAGTAGCTGGGATTACAGGCACCTGCAACCACGCCCACCTGATTTTTTGTATTTTACTAGAGATGGAGTTTCACCATGTTGGCCAGGCTGGTCTCGAATTCCTGAGTTCGGGCAATCCACCTGTCTCAGTTGCCTAAAGTGCTAGGATTTACAGGTGTGAGCCGCCCTGCCCGGCCTCCATCTTCTTAAAAGGAATTTTTTACTGTTGGCATTGTCATTTAAATAACTGAGTTTAGGATATTTGTCTCCTCATCTGCTGTCTTACCTGCCTTTTTCTATTGAATAACACATCGGATCTCTTCTACATTAAAGTACCTGCCATACAGGTAACAGTGGCTTGGAGGAAACATGGTCTTTCCTCTAATGGGACATTTTAGAGTCTTGTGGTTGCCACTGGCTGAGGGAGCATTCTCTGCCCACTGAACGCTTGAGTAATCGACGCCCTGGAATGGTCTCAGCAAATGGGCTGAGCAGGATTTTGCTACTAGTAGGGGTTTTCCTGTATGTGTTCCTAGCAGGATGTGTTTCCTTTCATATGAACCATAGAAGTACATCTGCTGGAATCTTTAAACAGATAGCTTTTCAATAAACAGGAAAAATGTCAAAATTGTCATTTTTTATGAGATGGAAGTAGAATAGAGAAAATGTAACATTTACTCAGGTGTTTTGAGTGTATTTTATTTGGTGCTGTTGCAATATAAATACCCTGTCTTGTCTGCATTTTTTCCTCCTAACACCCTACATGTTTCCTATGTAGCTTATAAGATAAGTTTTTTTTTTTTTTTTTGAGACGGAGTTTTGCTCTGTCACTCAAGCTGGAGTGCAGTGACGCGATCTCGGTTCACTGCAACCTCTGCCTCCCGAGTTCAAGCAATTCTCCTACCTTAGCCTCCCGAATAGCTGGGATTACAGGCATGTACCACCAAGCCCAGCTAATTTTTGTATTTTTAGTAGACATGGGGTTTTGCCATGTTGGCCAGTCTGGTCTCGAACTCCTGACCTCAGGCGATCCACTTGTCTTGGCCTCCCAAAGTGCTGGGATTACAGGCGTGAGCCACCATGCCCGGCCCTTTTCTTTCTTTTGTATTTTGTGTTTTGAGACATGGTCTTGCTCTGATACCCAGGCTGGAGTGCAGTGGCATGATCATGGCCCACTGCAGCCTTGATTTCCTGGGTTCAAGCAGTCCTCCCACCTCAGCTCCCCGAGTAGCTGGGACCGCAGGGGTATACTACAACATCACACCCAGCTAATTTTTTTTTATTTTTTGTAGATATGGGGTCTCGCTATGTTGCCTGGGCTGGTCTCGAACTCCTGGACTCTAGTCATCCTCCTGCCTTGTCCTCCCAGAATGCTGGGAGTACAACTATGAACCACTGTGCCTGGCATGTAAATTTTGTACATTTAACTTCACATGGTAGTATTATAAGAAGCATGCCTTTACACTCTCCTAGAGGTTGAGGATTATCACCTGACTAATAAGATGAAGGTTTTATTGCAAGAGTACAAATTTTCTCTGACACATAAAGCCTTTAAACCATAGAGGTAGACCTTATTTTTACTTGTTCTTGGTTAAAATATTCACCCAACATGTAAGAAAAATTTTAGGCCAGGCGCGGTGGCTCACACCTGTAATCCCAGCATTTTGGAAGGCTGAGGCAGGCGGATCATGAGGTGAAGAGATCGAGACCATCTTGGCCAACATGGCGAAACCCCATCTCTACTAAAAATACAAAAATTAGCAGGGTGTGGTGGCACACACCTGTTGTCCCAGCTACTCGGGAGGCTGAGGCAGGAGAATCGTTGAACCTGGGAGGTGGAGGTTGCAGTGAGCCGAGATTGTGCCACTGCACTCCAGCCTGGTGACAGAGCGAGACTCTGTCTCAAAAAAAAAGAAAAAAAAAAAGAAAAATTTTAACTTTTTTGTTTCCTTAGATGTTAAGTATTATGAATATTAGTTATCAGCTTTTACATTTTATTTGAAGATAAAAAGAGGAGTGTGTTATCTCCTTATTAAAAATTTATTATGACAGTTGCTGGATAGTCAAAACCTGTCCCGTAATCCATTTTTTTTCTTTTTAAAGTGAAAACAAGTTTATTAAGAAAGTAAAGGAATAAAAGAATGATTACTCCATAGGCAGAG
Organism: Homo sapiens; assembly: GCF_000001405.40. Lineage (NCBI taxonomy): Eukaryota > Metazoa > Chordata > Mammalia > Primates > Hominidae > Homo > Homo sapiens. The sequence continues at coordinate 108,710,325 of NC_000012.12, read as the reverse complement.
CAGCCCGTAATCCTCCTTTTTGGCCTTCAGTATCACCTGGAAAACTTGGTGAGGGAGACAACTGTCCATGTTTCTAAGATAGAGGTTTCAACCAACGCCCAGAGAGAGCATCTCATAGTTGAGCCTGTGTTCTCAACCTATTCCTGCATTGTCTCAAAGGTGTATCAATTTTTATTATAATAAAAACCATTCTAGAATAGTTGCTGTTGTATTGGAAAATAGGAGGAGAGTGATAAATTACATCTTAAAAAGACAAGTAAGGTTTGTATTTCCCATGTTTTGTAGAGGTTAAAAACTCTGTTGCATTATCTCCCATTGAAAGTAAGTTTATTTTGAAACTTGTAAATATTCCTTTGATTTGCTTAGTGAATAACTTACTGCTACATCGTCTTCCTCTTTATTACTGAGATGATCTTACTGTTGCAAGCAAGGGAAAGCCTATGCAGTTTTAAGAACTTGTACTTGAAAGACCTAATGAGCAAGCAGTTTTTCCAAAGTTGAACCACTCTCTGACAGGACATTTAAAATCATACCTAGTATTTCCTTGGAATTTGTGCCTATTGTGTTAGTTCAGGATTTTTTCATTTACTCTTTTTTTTTCTTTTTTGAGAAAATTAGATCCCTTTATAAAATGCTTTAGTTTTAGGGGGACATTTTAGTCATCTAATTTATGATTTGATCAGTTTGGGACAATATAGCTGATAACAGAACTCCTAAGTTTGGTGATATGCCATCTTAATTTAAAGGTTAAAACTGAACAGTTTTTAAAGTGGTAAAACACTAATACCATTTGACAATGCAGACAGCTCTCTTAAGAAGAGGAAGTTTTTGTGTTTGGGATAGTTCCCAATTTTTCCTTTGTTTGCAGAGAAATTAAACTGCAGAAATACCGTGCTGAAATGGGAGAACATAAAATTCTGTAAAGAGTCCTTGATAAGTGGTGCCGGTTCTTTTATATGAAAATTCTACTTTTAGCCCATAATCAGTAGGGACTTGCTTAGGTTTTCTCCCTGGATAGGGAAAAGCTATTACTGGGCTCTTAAATAATAATTGCCAACATTTGTTAGACAGTATGTACTATGCTTCAGATTCTATGCTGAGTACTTTATAGTTTTTTTAAAAAAACAGTTTGGAGATATAATTCACATACTAGACAATTCACTCATTTAAAGTGTACAGTTCAGCGGTTTATAGTATATATATATAATCAAATAATCTGCAACCATCAACACAGTCAATTTTAGAACATTTTCATTACCTTAAAAGAAACACACCAGGCATGGTGGCTAATGCCTATAATCCAAGCAGTTTGGAAGGCTGAGATGGAAATATTCCTTAAAGCCAGCAATTAGTTAGAGACCAGCCTGGGCAACATGGTTAGACCCCCATCTCTACCAAAAAAAAAATTAGCCTGGTGTGGTGGCGTACGCTTGTGGTCCCAGCTACTTGGGAGGCTGAGGTGGGAGGATTGCTCGAGCTCAGGAGTTTCAGGCTGCAATGAGCTATGATTGAACCACTACACTGAGTGCAGAGTGAGACTCTGTCTCTAAAAAAATAATAAATAGACCGAGCACGGTGGCTCACGCCCGTAATCCCAGCACTTTGGGAGGCCAAGGTGGGCAGATCACCTGAGGTCAGGAGTTTGAGACCAGCTTGACCAACATGGTGAAACCCTGTCTCTACTAAAAATACAGAAATTAGCTGGGCGTGGTGGCAGGCGCCTGTAATCCCAGCTACTTGGGAGGCTGAGGCAGGAGAATTGCTTGAACCTGGGAGGCAGAGGTTGCAGTGAGCCGAGTTTGAGCCATTGCACTCCAGCCTGGGCAACAGAGCAAGACTCCATCTCAGAAAAAAAAAAAAAAACTCTAAGCAACCATGAATCTACTTTCTGTCTCTCTAGATTTGCCTATTCTGGACTTTCATATAAATTAGTATGTCGATTTTTGTGACTGGTTTCTTTCATTTATAATGTTTTTAAGATTCATCCAAGTTGTAGCATGTATTAGTACTTCATTCCTTTTTATTGCTGAATAATATTCTGTTGTACAGGTAATATCACATTTTGTTTATCCATTGGATACAATGGATAGTCTGTATTTGGGTTGCTTCTACCCTTTGGCTCTTGTAAATAATGCTTCCATGAAGACTCATGTACAAGTATTTGTTTGACTACCTGTTTTCAGTTCTTATGAGTGTATACCTAGGAGTGGATTGCTGGGTCTTATGATAATGCTTTGTTTAATTGTTTGAGGAACTTTCAGACTTTTCCACATCAGCTGCAACATTTTGCATTCCCACCAGGAGTGTATGAGGGTTCTGATTTGTCTATATTCTCATCAACCCTTGTTACTCTCAGAATTTTTTATTTTAGCCATCCTAGTGGGTATGGAATAGTCTCTCATTGTGGTTTTGATTTTCATTTCTCCATTGATTAATGATGTCCAGCAACTTTTCATGTGTATTGGACATTTGTACATCTTCTTTGGAAAATGTCTATTCAAGTCCCTTTGATTCATTTTTAAATTGGACTATGTTTTTATTATTGAATTGTAGGAGTTCTTTTTATACTCTAGATACAAGTGTCTTATCAGATATAAAGTTTGCAAAAGTTTTCTCCCATTCTATGAGTTGTCTTCGATTTCTTGATAGTGTCCTTTGAGGCATAAAGTTTATAAATTTTGATGGAATCCAGTTTTTCTAATTTTTCTTTTGTTGCTTGTGCTTTTGGTGTCATATCTTAGAATCCTTTGCCCAGTCCAAGGCTGTGAAGATTTACTCCTATGTTTTCTTCTCAGAGTTTTATAGTTTTAGCTCTTATGTCTAGGTCTTTGATCTATTTTGAGTTAGCTATTTTACGTATTGTCCCAGTACCATCTGTTGAGAAGAGTTTTTCCACTGAATTGTCTTGGCACTCTTGTTGAAAATCAGTTGACCAAAGATGTATGAGTTTACTTCTGGACTTTAATTATATTCCATTGATATAAATGTCTGTCCTTATTCCAGTACCACACAGTCTTGATTACTGTTGCTTTGTAGTGAGGTAAGTTTTGAAATCAGGAAATAGGAGTCTTCCTAACTTTTTCTCTTTTTTCTCCCCAGGGTCATTTGGGTATTTTTGGATCCCTTGCAGTTCCAATCAATCCCTTCATCCATTTCTACAAAGAATTCTTCTGGGAGTCTGATAGGGATTGCATTAAATCTATATCTTAGTTTGGGGAATATTGCCATCTCAATGCTAAGTCTTCTGATTTTTGAATGTGGAATTTCTTTTCATTCATTTGTGTCTTTAATTTCTTTCAACAGTATTTTGAGTTTTCAGAGTATGAGTCTTTCATCTCCTTGATTAAGTTTATTTCTAAGTATTTTATTTCTGATGTATTGTGAGTGGAATTGTTTTCTTAATTTCACTTTTGGATTGTTTGTTATGATTTTATAAAAATACGGCTAGGCATGGTAGCTCACACCTGTAATCCCAGCACTTTGTGAGGCCAAGACAGGAGGATCACCTGCGGTCAAGAGTTCGAGACCAGTCTGACCAACATAGTGAAACCCTGTCTCTGCTAAAAATACAAAAATTAGCTGGGTGCAGTGTAGTCCCGGCTACTCGGGAGGCTGAGACAGGAGAATCGCTTGAACCCCGGAGGCGGAGGTTGCAGTGAGCCAAGATTGCACCACTGCGCTCCACCCTGGGTGACAGAGCAAGACTCCATCTTAAAAAAAAAAATGATTTTTATATATTAATCTTGTATCCTGCAACCTTACTGAACTTACTGGTTCTTTTAGTGGATTCCTCGGGATTTTCTGTATATAAGATCATGTCTTCAGCACACAGAAATAGTTTTACTTCTTTCTTTCCAATCTGAATGTCTCTTACTCCTTTTTCTTGCCTAATTGCCTTGGCTAGAACCTGTACTACAATCCTGAATAGAAGTGGCAAGGGTGGACAAGCTCATCTTATTCTTGATCTCAGGGAGAAGGCATCTTTCGCCATTGAATATTGAGTTAGCTGTGGTATTTTCATGGATGCCCATTATCAGGTTGAGGAAATTCCCTTCTATTCCTAGTTTCTTGAGTGTTTTATCATGAAAGAGTATTTAATTTTGTCAAATGCTTTTTTTTTGTTTTTTTTGTTTTTTTTTGATTCAGAGTCTCACTCTGTTGCCCAGACTGGAGTGCAGTGGCACTGTCTCGGCTTACTGCAACTGCTATCTCCCGGGTTCAAGCAATTCTCCTGCCTCTGCCTCCCGAGTAGCTGGGATTACAGGTGCCCACCACCATGCCTGGCTAACTTCTGTATTTTTAGTAGAGATGGGGTTTCACCATGTTGTGCAAGCTGGTCTTGAACTCCTGACCTCAAGTGATCCCCCTGCCTCAGCCTCCCAAAGTGTTGGGATTACAGGCATGAGCCACCATGCCCAGCCTCAAATGCTTTTTCTGTGTCTGAGATAATTGTGTGATTTTTTTTTCTTCTATTGATATAATGTGTTACGTTAATTGATTTTCAGATGTTGACCCAACCTCGCATTCCTAGGATAAATCCCACTTGATTGTGGTGTATAATTCTAATTCTTTTTCTGTGTTGCTTGATTTCGTTTGCTGGTATTGTTGAGGATTTTTTGCATCTGTATTCATAAGAGATATTGGTCTGTAATTTTCTTGAGATGTCTTTGTTTGGTTTTGGTATCAGGATAATACTGGCCTCATACAATTAGTTTGAAAGTGTTCCCTTCTTCTCTATCTTTGGAAAATTTTGTGAGTACTTGGTATTTTTTAAATGTTTGATAGACTTTAGCAGTGAAGTCATCTGGGTCTGGGCTTTCTTGTCTGTGGTTGGTTTACATTCTTTTTTTTTTTTTTTTTTTTTTTGAGACAGGGTCTTGCTCTGTCACCTAGGCTGGAGTGCAGTGGCGTGATCTCGGCTCACTGCGACCTCTGCCTCCCAGGTTCAAGCAATTCTTATGCCTCAGCCTCCCTAGTAGCTGGGACTCCTGGCTAAGTTTTGTATTTTTAGTAGAGACTGGGTTTCACCATGTTGCCTAAGCTGGTCTCGAACTCCTGACTTCAAGTGATCTGCCTTCCTCGGCCTCCCAAAGTGTGGGGATTACAGGCGTGAGCCACCATGCCCGGCCTACATTCTTATTACAGGTATCATTCCCTTCATTTTGTGAATGGGAAACTGAGGCTCAGAGAGGTTAAGTAATTTGCTAATATGTTGCAGAGCTCAGATTTGAATCCAAATTATCTTATGTCAGTTACTAGGATGACAATAGTAGCTAGTATTTATTGAGTGATTAATTTTGTGTATTTAACCATACAAGGTACTATTATAGCATAAGAATCTCCTGCCACCATCCCATCACCAATTGATCATTTAATGATCACTTCAACTTTATATGCATTGTACCCATTTTTGGATAGAGAATTTTACACTTAATGGAGACTTAGTGACTTGCTGTACTGTACCACGGCCAGGAAGTAAATAGTACAGCTGTGCTTCTCACTTACGAGGCTGTCTGACTCTGGAGTTTGCTCTCTTAATTGCTATACTCTATTGTGTGCCTGGAGGGCCTGAGACATTCTGTGCAAGAAAAGCGGCTATGCCACATGTACACAGGTGAGCCCAGATCAGATTTGACCTTGGAAGTGAATGGGCTCACACTGCCCTTCAAGCTCCGCTTAGAGATGCCTGACTCAGCACAGCACTGCGGAAGCACTGGCTTTTCTTACTGTCTCTGCCCTGTAGCTAACATTCTACTCTGTGATTGTAGCAAAAGAACTTCTATATCATTCTATCCACATGTATTTAGGATGAAAATAAGTATGCATAATATGGAAATAACTTTTTTTTTTTTTTGAGATGGAATCTTGCTATGTCGCCCAGGCTGGAGTGCAGTGGTGCGATCTTGGCTCACTGAAGCCTCCGCCTACCAGGTTCAAGCAATTCTCTTCCCTCAGCCTCCCGAGTAGCTGGGATTACAGATGCCTGCCGCCACACCCGGCTAATTTTTGTATTTTTAGTAGAGATGGGGTTTCACCATGTTGGCCAGGATGATCTTGATCGCCTGACCTCGTGATCCGTCTCAGCTTCCCAAAGTGCTGGGATTACAGGTGTGAGCCACTGCGCCTGGTGGAAATCACTTTTTAAGGTAGTTTAGTATGTATGTCAGCCAGAAGATTTGTATAGTATCTTTCAATGAAGACAAAGCATTTTACATATTTATATTAATCTTCCTATTTTTATGAGGTTAGATGGTATCTGGCCTATTTGAGTGAAGAGGAAAAATCGTCTCTCTTTTTCAAGTGAGAGGCCTTCCTCAAATATCCATTCACATTTAAAAGTGAGGTTCTAAAAGCTGACCTTATGCCTGTGTGAGTGGAGGGGCACATTGAATGGTGGACCTCACTGAGGGCAGTGATGTCTGATCTCTTGTGGGGTAAGGCAGGTGGTATCTTGGGAGCCAGGAGGAACAAGGGGCTGGAGGCCCCACTGTATAGAACCAGGCTGTCAGTGAGGCATCTGTTCACACCTGTGCTGGGTGTCATCCAGGCCCATAGTCAGGCCTCTCCTGGCTTCTGCTGGGGAGAGGGCAGGCCAGTACCCTGGTTGTGCAGCCCTGGGATCTGGGTGTCCAGCTGCTCCTAATTCAGGCTTTCAGTCATTTTCTCTGTAGTCCCTCTCCCACATCCCTGTCTTTGGAGACACACAGTTTCTCCTTGGAGTGTTCTGGGGATTCACAGTGGGCCTTGATGTCCTTTTTGTGCGCTCCTCCTGAGACTCAGCTGAGTAGAGGACACTCACACTTCAGTCAGTTACACGTGCATGACAGCTTTCCATCTTCGAAAGTTTATTGTCACATTTGCTCTCTTGTAGCCTCTTTTCCAGTCCTCTTGTCCTTTCATGTTTTTACCTGCTTTTATTTTTTGCTTTCATTTTATTAGGATTTTAGGAAGGAGTGGAGATAAGTGCTGTTTGTGTTTCTTTTGTAAATTCTTCATATCCTTTGTCTAATTTTCTGTTGGGTTTTAATTGTATGAATTTGTAAGAACGTTTTATTTATGAAGGATGTTAACTCTGACATGGTGCAATCCTTTTTTCTTCTACATTAGCTTACTTTTGAAACACTTGCTTGAAGATGCTGGTAGGGATTGCAGCTTCTATAACTTGTACAGATGGTTGCAGATGGTTGTGTGGGGAAGTGGAGCCCAAGACCAGCTGGCTGTACGTTGGCTTTTGTATAGATGTGCTTTCCTTTTGCTTTTCACCACCTCATGGAAGCTGTCTTATCTAACTCACGCTTGAGAAGTATTCATATTGATTCCAAAATGAAGGACCCTGGCCACGAATCATTTGCCATCTCCTCTACCAAAGACTCAAAATGTATGGCCCTGGTAGTCAGCTGGGAAAGTCTGGCAATAACAGCTGGGCTAAGGAACGTGGATGCTCAATTGCCTGCCAAGGGTCTCTTACTTCAGCCCGGCTACATGCCCCCAGCATTGGAGAGAGGCCACTTTCACACATGCGTTGGAAGGGTAAGAGACTCTGGCAAAAATAAATTCGTCTCTCTGCATTTAGCAGTGGGCTCAGGGCCATGAGGAAGGGAATTAGAGGAAAGGAATTAGCAACAGCCCACCATGTGTCTCGTCTGGCATGAGTGGACAGGTGTTAGCTCTCCTCTGTATATGAGGATCTGATTTTCAGCTGAGTTGTCGATGTTGAACCATGTTCCATTTCCACTTAGATTTTTATCCAGGCTCCTTCTATCTAACCAACATGAACAGAATGTCCTGCAGTAGCACATAGGAAAATTACATTGGGTGCAGTCTAGGAAATCTTAATCAGGGAGGGCCTGGTGATCTGAAAGCACAAAGCTTTCAGTGTCTATCAGATGATTTAGTCGAATTTGGAGTCTGAAATGACACATAAGACAGCCTAGGAACCTAGCTCTGTGTCACCTCCCCTCCCCTTCAGAGTCCCTGGTTTACTAGGGAAGTGGCTGTGGTGGATGATCAGCTCAGTGAAAACCCAGCCTGGTTTTGTTTCCCCCCGACAATAGCCCCTGCATTTTTCCTTTCCTAGGTCCCAACTGTTACTGCTGTATCACTCCAGGCCTTCCTCAAGTCTGGTTTACTGTCAAATAGCTTCCTAGCCCAGTACCTGGCTTTGAGCTTGTTCCTGTGTAAGCTGTCCAGTGTGCTCCTGCCACATTTACTGTCATCCTAAACATCACTTTGATCACATTGCTTTCCATTTAAATACTTTTGCTCTGCTTTTCCCAGACCTGGCTCTTACCCGTTAGGCTGCTTTAGGCTGACTTTTCCTGTTTCTCACTGTGTACCACTTAGCACTAGGCGGTTTGGTAGTGAGTTGCTCTGATTATTACGTCTGTGTTAGAAGGAGATTAGAAGGCTTTTGAAGTCAAGGGTGATGGCTGTGTCTTTTGAATTCCTCCCATAGCTATTCTTGTTGAAACACTCTGGGGAATAGACACAATTCTCAGACAGCAGAGTGTTGATGTCTAGGGAAAATGTTTACAATCTGAAAAATTACCTTGGCAGGCTGAGGACAAAGCCACAAAATCGTAACTTGTTTTTCGGCTTTCTTCAGCCTCACCTCTACCAGAGAATTTCACTTTGGAGTTTTCTTATCTGTAAAAGGGGAAGGGTTGAAGTACATTATCTGTCAGCTCCCACCCAACCCTGAAAGGCTAATTTTCTTTAATTCTTTCCCTTAATCTTTCCATTGAAATTAAAACTGATGAGCTGTTTCTGGATCTTGAATTAGGAATTTTTCATTTCTTTGTAATTCTTTCCCTGACGCATTTTGCAGTTGTCTCCGGGTATGTGCTGCTAAAAGAAATTTGGATTGCAATTTGGCTACTTTTTAGGAGAGCAGACAAAATGCCATACCATTCTGTTTTTCCTACTTGGAGCATTTCATTTGTAAAAGTAAAGCTTTCAGTTTGGTGCATAATTCTAACATAATTCTCACTCTTCCTTTGCAGACACGATGAGGCGAGTGGTACGACAGAGCAAGTTTCGGCATGTATTTGGGCAAGCGGTGAAAAATGACCAGTGCTATGATGACATCCGGGTTTCTCGTGTGACCTGGGATAGTTCCTTTTGTGCTGTCAATCCCAGATTTGTTGCCATAATCATAGAGGCAAGTGGGGGAGGAGCGTTCCTTGTCCTCCCTCTGCACAAGGTAGGTAATTTGATCTTCCATTCTGGTAGACACCCTCTGATAGTCTCCATACTTTTTCCTTAATAGATTGACAGTTCACTAAGAATTGTATTTGTGAAACCATTAGACTCTGATGTAATTGAAGTTAAGTTCCACACGCCTTACTAACCACATCAGTTTTTCTCTAACAGAGAATCATTAAATAGAATAGTGACCTCTGTTCTGGGGATGCCCTCTATGGATGAAAAAATTATTATAACGATGTTGTGAGCATGGGCAGGCATAGGAATTTTAAGATTTCATTCTTAATCATCTGCTTTTCACAAAAATTTTTCTTTTAGAGTGCAGTTTTAAAAACTGGCTTTTACTCCAAAGTAAAGTTTTAAAAACAGTTACATTTTCAAATGGGCAGAAATTTGTAAGATAATATTCTCTTTTTTTGTGAAGTCATAAGGATGAGCCCTTTTTCTTTTCTTAATTTCCTTTTTTTTTTTGAGTTGGAAATGGAACAAGAACTCAAGAAAATGTCCTCAATATAGATTTCAATTCTGGACAATAGTAAGTTTCAGCGTAGGATTTAAACAGTGTTAACAAGTGGTAGAAATAAAAGATCTTTACTGAGAATGGTTCTATGTTTTCTTCAACTTCAGTAGGGTTCCAAGCCCTCCTCCTTCCTTTATCCTCCCAGAAAGCCTGCTCCAAGGTGGGAGATTAGATAGGAATTTTGTGCATTTGCTGACCAATCATGAATACTGCAGATCAAAATCTATAGTTACTTTATCAGCAAATCCCAGAACTGCAAATAATGAAGAAAAAAAAGCTGTGAAGAGGGCCTAGAAACAGTTGTTTTCTAGTTAGCTTTTAGGAGGAAAATGAGTTTGGTGAGTCCTGAGCTCCAGTGATAAGGGCTGGGTGCTGGTGAGGATGCAGATGTTGGGTCGTATGACAGCTGTTTCCACTCTGCTGAAAACAGCGGGGGAAGTGGATCCCCGCTGTTTCTGAGCCCCTTATATTCAGGGTACATCTCATCACAATGGATCATGTGATTCTGAGAGTGGTTACAATAAAGTGAATTTCTGTCAGAGGGTTGTTTCCCATTGTATGTTGATGTTTTTTCCTTGGGAAAACTCTCATTGGGAAAATGTCCAATTCTCTTGGACTTTTGTTTCAGAGATGCTGGTGACTAACTTGTTTTATTATAACATCTGATTTTTACTTCAGTGGCCAGATAGATAACACAGTAGAACCATCTCCTAACCGAAGAAGGGAGATGGGTGCCTTTGGGGAACAAATTTGATACGTGTTTTCAAATGTACCTTCTTATTGGCGAAGATGAATCTTTTCATTAAGTTGAAAATTTATTTTTTATTTAGATACTTTTATTTCTGTTCAAAAAATTGTCGTTCAGTGGCAGATAAGTACACTACACTGTTATAAGTGTTCTTCATCTGGTTTTGGAGTGGGGATTTGAACTCAAGGCCAGTTGCATTTGGTCTCCACATTGTTTTAGCTTATTCCTTCACCAAGAGCAAGGGGCATTTGGAAACTTGACATTTTACTGGTAGGCTTTATGGCAGCCAACTGAGAAGACAGCCATAGCTTGTTAGCTAAGGTCAGACACTGGAGCACCATGATTTGTTTTGGAGTTACGAGTTTTTATTTCCCCTTTTATAGACTGAGGGATAAATGTAAGACTTTTTTTTTCCTTCAAAGAAATGGAACAAGCCAATTAAGAAGCACAAAATAGACATAATGAATGGCTAATCTTCCTCTGAATTCAGACATTTCCTTTCAACTTTCACATCCACAAAGGTTCTGTGAGTTCATCTTTGCTTTTACAGACCATGAGAAACTGAGTTTCACTTATCCCATTTGAGGGAGACCTGTGTGCAGTGCCCCAGCTAACTGATCTTATGATTTGGTTTTTCCTTGCATTCAGTGACCTACACTTAATGAATGTGTCCTTGTATTTCATTCTTTAACCAGCATTATGGGAACTAGGATAGAATAAGTTGCTTTACAAATTGTCATGTTTAGATGAGGTGTTGCTTTTTAGAGGAGCATCGAGGGTCTTTCCCAGGCTATAATACTGTCTGTCTAGCTTTGCTCCTTAAATATGAGTTTGTTTTAGAGGAGGTGACATTGGTATAAGCTAAGCCCTGTGACAGCCATTGGAAATAAGATCAATACTTGGGTTTCTATAGTCGATAGGTTCATGAGTACTATGTGAGATTTTTGTGTATTAAAGTGTGTGTATTTAGCTCTTAGCGTCAATGTGGCATAGAGGGAAGATCACAAATCTGGGAATTGATGAGCTGTGGAGTTCAGTCCTGGCTCAGTCACTGACTTGTAGTGGGACGTGGATGTGTCTCTTTATCCTTCCGCTCCTCTGTTTCTCTCTCTGTAACATAAGCAGCTGTGTATAAAAGTTATTTTCTGGCCGGGCACAGTGGCCCATGCCTGTAATCCCAGCACTTTGGGAGGCTGAGGCGGGCGGATCACCTGAGGTCAGGAGTTCGAGACCAGCCTGGACAACGTGGTGAAACCTCGTCTCTACTAAAAATACAAAAATTAGCCGGGCATGGTGGTGCACACCTGTAGTCCCAGCTACTCAGGAGGCTGAGGCAGGAGAATCACTTGAACCCGGGAGGCGGAGTTGCAGTGAGCTGAGATCGTGCCACTGCACTCCAGCCTGGACGACAGAGTGAGACTCCGTCTCAAAAAGAAAAAAAAGTTATTTTCTGCCTTGGAAATTCTAGATCATGTCAGAAATGCTTCTCACCTTCCATGGTTCTCAGCTATGAAGTGATTTCCAGTGCAGTTGGTGTGTACTCAAAATTCAGCAAAGAAAACAGTTTTGTTCCATTTTTGTCCCCCTAATTCAATGTATAACTTTGGCAAGTAGATGCCTTTTTACTCCTGGCTGCTTTTTCACTAAGGCAAAGCTGAGCCCAGCAAAGAGGAGTGGTCCTGTGGTCCCTCATGACAGTCATGTGCCTAGGTAGTTCTCAGTAGGATCTGCTATGGCAGGGCTTGGCCCGTGAGCCCTGGAGTGTCAGGTGACACTTGCCTTTTTTTTCTTCTAAGTTGCTGTTCCTACCTGAGATGCTGGCTGGTTACCAGGCATCAGTAGCTGGTAGAAAATAGAATGATCTTCCATGTTATCAGAAAACCTACATTTCTCTATGGGGCTGACTGCCTTCTTGATGTCTACCTTATAATTTTGGTATAGTCATGAATATTTGAATAATGGTTATACATTTTACAGTTGATATTTGATTGTTTACACAATATGAGTGAGTCTTCATATACGATTAGTTGGTTTGATTGTCTGTAAGCAGAGTACCTGCTGTGTGCCAGCATCTGTGCCCTCCAGGAGCACTTGTGTCTAAGAAAGCATCCTGGCAGATTGCTGGTACTGAGGTGTTTGTCTCCTCATTAGAAGTACAGCCTCGAAGAAGAAATATGATGGGGACTCCAACTACATGGTGAACCCATTAATCCCTTTTCAGTACAGGGCTTTGTAATACTAGGGCTCTTTACCCTGGAAAAGAGACTCCTACAACTTTAGTGTCTTGGCAACTATGAAATAGTTTTATCATGAGGTGTTGCTTTGGTTTAAAGGCAAAGAAAAACTAAATTCCCAATTATAATATGAAGTTATGTTTGAAATCAAGATAGCAAGAAATGATGTTTAGATGTGTGTTAGGCTCCAATACATGTTGATAGCAGCCTGGCATGATTTTAAACACGAACCTTAAAAGATGGGTATGGCTTTTAATAATTATCTCATGGGCTTCTGAGAATGTTTTCCCTTTTTTGTTTCTGGTTATAGACAGGCAGGTTAGTTTTGGTGATGCGTTTGGGACTCTGTACATAATAATACTGAATATGTACACGTTGGAATTAAGGTGGATTATGACCCTTTCAGAAAGGCTCCCATTTGAAAACATGGTTTTCCATGAATTTCTTTTGAAAGCTATTTAGTGTCAGCAGTAAATAAGGCTTCTTATTGCAACCTCATGAGGCTTGTGGTTAGATTCTGGGAGAATGTAAAATAAGTTAGACATGGTTTCTGTCTTCCAGGACTTAAAATCTGAAGTGAAAAGAGTAATAGGGATAAATACATCAAAGCACATGCATATACAAAGACACACACATATGCAGCAAGCAGCACACTTAAGAATGAATGTATGCTTATTTTAAGCATATGGTTTATGAGGTGTTTGTTAGGAAGGTTTTATTAGGGAAAGTGGGATTTTTGAAGAGGTCACTGCCGGAGGAATATAGAAAGTCCTCAGTCCTGAGGTGGGTTGATTTAGATTAGCACACGTGATTCCCACTCTCTTTTGTAATGCTTCCATCAAGCTGTGGCTTGCCACTCTGCCATGACTTTTCAAGGTGTGGCTTAGTGCATTTACTTATTCTTTAGTCCTTCAGAGGATGAATAATAGCAGTCTTGCTGAACATAAGTTGGCTTTGTGGTTTTGGCTATGAGGAATACTTTTTTTTCTTGCCACAACTGCACAAGCTGCCTTGTCTCAAGAGCACACAGGTTTTCAGCCCTCTGTGTAATCTACCACGTTGGCATGAATAAGCCTTTCCTTTGTGGAGTAGCCACACTCGTGACGTAGATAGAACTGAGACATTCCCTCCCTATTGTGAACCATGGAGGGCTCATACACACCAGTGTTTCTGGATAGATACACATACAACCCCCCCGTCCCCTCCCTCCCCCCGACACACTTCATATCACAACAAGCCTGTAAATCCTGCCTTAAACAAGTAAGAGGGGGAGGAATCGGTAAGAATTATATGCTCTTGATCTCTTGACATTCTCTTGGCTGGAGGATGCGAACTAGATGGCTCCTGTCTTCCCAAGTTGCTTTCTTTCTCCCTTCCTTCCTTGAGTATTGTGAAATACTGTGAAGCAACTTTGGTGAATTGGAATGATAGCTGATTTCACCCTCACAGAAACTACCTGGGACAAGAATGCTGCTCTGGCCAGGATAGGATGGGTATGGCCAGGTCTCTGTTAGCTTTTTGGGTCATGATCTCTTCTTCTCTCCCATGGGCTCCTTTGTTGTAGCTGTGTGGTACTTTCTTATACACAACTGTGTTTCTCCCATTTATTTTAGGAGCTGTGTGTGGGAATATTTGGGATCTTGCTTTATTTATGTCTGTGAACAATTTTTCAACTCATTTTGCAGTTTTTCATGTAGGGTTTTATGAAAGAATTTAGCTCTACAGAAAATCATTTGAAAGACTGTTTTTTTTTTTTTTTTTTTTTTTTAGTTCTCCCAAGGGTGATACATAGCCAGTCTTCTAGATGCATAGGATTAAGAGCTCATTGCCTATAATAGCATATATTAGAGCATTAGGACTTTAATTTCTTATAGAACCTAGGTTGATGAAGGCAGCTTTGGAATGTTTCTGTCATGTTGGTTGAGGAAGAGATCTTGATTCATTTCAGTCAGTATTCCACTAATGATGATACTTGGTGGTCTTTTCTTCCTGTTCATTATCCAGCTCAGATGTTGCCTTTGATTATTTACTGAAACAGAGGAACTCATCCATTGGGTTCTCTTAGTTGCTTCTTCATACCACTGGTACCACAGCCTGCGTTATCACATTATTAAAATTATTATTCACTTAACGGAGGGAATGGTTAGAATTATATGCTCTTGATCTCTTGACTCACTTGGATAGAGGATGCAAACTGGGTGGCTATGTATATGGTAGCCTTTTGTGCAGGTTCTCCAAAAACTTGCCTTACTATATTGTGGTAGGTGGCCTCCAACACTGAATAGGGCTAGCCTGTGTAACCATAGGGTATGGTGGAATTGATGGAGTGTGAATTCTGAGACTAGGTCATAAAAGCCCACTGGCTGCTACTTTGTCTCTTTTGGAGCTGCCATGTTGTGAGGATACTCCAGCAGCTCTGTGGCAAGGTCCATAGGACCTCCTGATGACTGCCAGCACCAGCTCAACCAGCCATGTGATGAGCCATCTTGAAAGTAGATCCTGCAGCCCTAGTAAAGCCATCAGGTGACTGCAGCCCTGGCTGACACTATCTCGTGAAAAACCCTGGGCCAGAGCCACCCAGATAAGCTGTTTTTGAATTCCTGATCCTTAGCAACTGTGTGAGTAATAAATGTTTATTGTTTTAATCAGCTGAATTTTAGGATAACTTGTTAATCAGCAGTTGATAACTAATACATATATTCTTAGACTGTATTACGTGACTCATAATGTTAGTTCACACAATTCATATATGAGTAATTCAGAGTGACTTAAAAGGCTTTCTGGTAGTTTTGAACACTATATTTCCACCTAGCCTTTAAGAAAAAAATCTACGTAGAAATATAATATCTATATACATATAAACATTCTTAAGTCCTAAGTGAATAATTGAGGGATTCCTTTCAATAGCAAGAGAAAGCTATATGGCAAGATTTTGTTATCCTGTATTCCATGGTACCTTCATATAACCTAAAAAATGTGTTATAAGATCATAGTCATT
The DNA here is from genome assembly GCF_000001405.40 of Homo sapiens. NCBI lineage: Eukaryota > Metazoa > Chordata > Mammalia > Primates > Hominidae > Homo > Homo sapiens. The sequence goes on along the minus strand of NC_000012.12, from coordinate 108,694,621 downwards.
ATCTCGTACTTAACTTCAATTGTGTTATTAGTTTTTAGGAAATAATGTGCAATGTTAACATTGATGGGACTAAAAGTGATGTTTTATTTTCTTCTTTATAATTACCTGCACTTAAAAATATTTTTTTACAATGAACTTATTACATATTGAGATTTTGAAAAATATTATCAGTAATATTACCAGAGTACATATAAAGAGCTAACTATTGCTTAAATGTTTGTGAAATTTAACACAGTACTTTAGAAAAATCACATTCATTCATTCACATATTCATTCCTTAGTGCCTGCATGTGCAGCGACCTGTGGTGGGTTCTTGCTTTTTTTTTTTTTTTTTTTTTTTTTGAGACAGTCTTGCTCTGTTCCCCAGGCTAGAGTGCAGTGGTGCGATCTTGACTCACTGCAGCCTCCACCTCCCAGGTTCAAGCACTTCTCCTGCCTCAGCCTCGTGAGTAGCTGGGACTACGGGTGTGTACCATCATGCCCGGCTAATTTTTATATTTTTAGTAGAGACAGAGTTTCACTGTGTTGGCCAGGCTGGTCTCGAACTCCTGATCCTCTTGCCTTGCCCTCCCAAAGTGGGATTACAGGCGTGAGCCACCACACCCGGCTAGGTTCTTGCTTTTAAGAAGCTTCAACAACTGTGCTTGATCTCTCCAGGGGGGTGCTTTGTGCATGAAGTGCTTTAGCACTGGGGTGTGAGAGATAGTTTCACCCTAGGCTTAGAAGGTAAGGAAGACATCACAGAGAAGGTTCGGTTTGAATTCAGGTTTTTTTTTTTCCTCTGCGTAGGAGCTAAAGATGAAACAGAAGAGGAGCCAACCCAACTTTTAAACTGTTAAGTTAGTAGAGGGGCTCTGTCCCTAGGAGGGCAAAGAAGTAGGTGGTAGGCACATTCCTCCTTCAGACTCCAGGATGTCTAGTTTAGGTGGATTTTTGTAGTATTGCAGAAATAGAATGTTTGATTGGAAGATAAACAAATCATTTATGCATAGTGTGAACTAACATTATGAGTCAAAAGAAGCTGAAGGATAGCTTTTTGGTAGAAAATCCTACATTTCTTGACCCTTTCTTTCACTTTCAGTGTGAATTTGGCAAAATTGGTATTTTCCTTGATTGTTATGGGGAAAAGAACTAGAATAAGCACTGTTTTATATTTTAGAATCATTGTTTTAACTAGATCAACATGGCGTCTTTCGTTTGTATCATCTTTAGGAAAAAGCAGTGACTTCTGTCACGTTGATGGAAATGAGACTGCAGAATGTCAGCAGATCGTACGTGGATAGTCCCCTTCATGAACAGTGTCTCTGTTTTTTCACTTGGTAGGGTGGGATCATTCCTCTGTTCTACAGTTGTAGAAATTGAAACCAAATTGAGTGGTTGTCCAAGACCGTGAGGTTGTTTGTGAATTAGAACTTAGGTTGCTGAGTCCTTATTTGATTTGTACATGTATATTTTTATTAATTTTTTTTCTACTGAGTGTGAACGAATTTTTCTTTAGGGGGGAGGATATAGAATCTGTGGTTTAGCCGGGCGCGGTGGCTCAAGCTTGTAATTCCAGCGCTTTGGGAGGCCGAGGCAGGTGGATCACCTGAGGTCAGCAGTTTGAGACCAGCCTGGCCAACATGGTGAAACCCTGTCTCTACTAAAAATACAAAAATTAGCTGGGCATGGTGGCACACGCCTGTTATCGCAGCTAATCGGGAGGCTGAGACAGGAGAATGGCTTGAACACAGGAGGCAGAGGTTGCAGTGAGCTGAGATAGCACCATTGCACTCCAGCCTGGGCGACAGAGCAAGACTCTGTCTCAAAAAAAAAAAAAAAAAAAAAGCTGTGGTCTAATGGACACTGAATCCTTTGCATTCTTTCTCTGGGATTAGAGAGTTTAATAACAAAAACAGTAACTTGACAGGGCTTTCATTCTGTCAGCTCAGAGAATTGTCTTAGGTTTGGAAAGTACTTGGTCTATACCATGCCTTGTGAGGACACAGTGACAGTGATGAAATCGCAGCAGTTCACATTTGTTGAGGGCTTCCTTTAAGTGCCAGGCGCCGTGCTGATAAGTGCCTTCTTTCATGGGCTACTTGAGAGGGAATGGCAGTCTCCTGACAGTGCTTTTCTGTGTGATCCACAGTCTTTGCCAGCACCTGCTGGATTTGCATTGGCTGCATGTCTGCCTTACTGTGCATTGCTGACAGGCAATTTCCATTTCTACACATTGTGGTACTCTGTTTTAGACAACAGTGGCAGTGCCGGTAGCCCTTTGTACAGATGTGGACATTTGGCACTTGGTAGCTTTGGTGTTAGGGGCAGAGGATTTTGTTCAGAGCCAGCCAGTGTCCTGACATGTCGTGGGATGCCCATTCACTGCCTCCTGAAATAGATTGTCTGATGCCTGGAGCACCTTCAACTGCCAAGTGTATGGGCCGTGAAAAGCTGGGGGACAGGACTGGGAGGGGTGGAGGATGCAGGGGGAGGGCACCAGGTGCAGAACAATGACTTCCAAATTATGTCACGAGCTGCCAGCCACACGAGCACGGCCTGGCCTCATTACCACATGAAGTGCCACAGAAGGGCCTTTTCATTTTCTCCTAGTGACTGTGTTATCCACAGTTTTGCTGGGAGGGGTGGGGTGGGCACCCTGCTCACCCCCAGTTAACAATGGAGCACAAAGTCCTGGCAGAAGGAACTTCCCAATGTACCCCGGGGCTATTTTTGATGACAGTGAGTGGCTGTGACTCACTGAATGTGTGCCCTGGCAGATGATGGTTTCCACCCCACCCCCTCCCCTGGAGATGAGCAGGCAGCCTTTGTGCGTTTCCTTGGCCAGCTTCTCCTGCTGCTGCAGTTCACTGATATGTCCACAGCAGCCGGCCCGCAGGCCTGACAGGGCTCTGACAGTGGTTTTTACCATATATGGCCATCAGAGCGCTGTGGCTGTCAGCCGGCCAGGATAATTTCCTTCCTTTGCTTTGATTGGCTGCACGGGTGGCTCAGAGAATGGTGGGATCTGGGAGTGTGTGGTGAAGAGAAGCCACTGAGTCAAGTGCAAAGAACGTTTAACTCTTTACTGGGTTTGTGGAGCGTGCCAGTCTGTGCTAAGCAGGCTGACAATTGCTGCCAGCAGAAGCCCTCAGTGTGTAAACATGGTAACCCCAGTCTGGGAAAGCTGCTGTATCTCCGGTAAAGAAAGGTATCTGAACACACATTACTCTGAAATAAACTCAAGGTGTCATGAACACATTTCTGGAGTCACGGTTTTGCCCAGAAGCCACCTTATAACCACATGTAGCAAATCATCTGCTCCTGCCAAGTTGAATATCTTCGCCCATTAGGGGTGGGACCTGAGTTGAGTCTGGGGAAGAATGAGCTGAGAGGGCATGTGATGGGACACATGTCTGCTTTCTTGGAGGAACGGTGACTTGGGTTTCATTTCTGGCTGACTGAATTGAGTCTATACTGCAGTCCTCTTGCTTGTGTGGAACTGACTCAGCCATGGAGCCCAAGGCATTAGCCCCTCCCACCCCCCAAAAAAAGTTGTAATATTTTTCTATTTATCATCTCCACCATCCAAGGAGGGTGGATTTTCATTCTGAGACCTGTGGATTAAACCAATGCAGAGCTGCAATGGGAAGGGTTAGCCCTGGAGCTCTTCAGCGTTCACAGAGGGTTTCAGTAGATCAATCTCCAATGTCATTTGCTTACTACGAGGGCTTAGACAACCAGTTTCTCTATTTTCTGATTTGATATTGAATGCTTTAATTTTCCATATTGCATTTACATCTGTAGTTCTTCTGCTTTTCAGCTTTTGCTTTCTAGCTCAATTTTATTTTAACTAGATTCTACCTCATCTTGGGTTCCAAGTTTTTATTTGTTCTCAGCCCAGAAGCATCATATGGAATTACTTGTCTGCAATAATGAGCAGAAAGCATTAGGTTTTCACTTTATAAATTCTTTAAGTCAGGAAGTTAGGAAATACAGCTACTCTGGTTGCTATCGCATATTTGGGCAAGGTTGAGTAAGGAAATGTTAACTTTTCCGTGTTTTTGCTTTCTGATAATAAAATGTTTGTAGTTTTACAATAACTTCCCTCAAGTTCTTAATTGATTTTAAAATATGGTCTATTCAGTATTAAACCCAGTTTTTAGAGAGGATCTGTGATGCAAAAATTATTTGCTTGGCATTTTCACTTCTGTCCAAAAAGACTGCTGTTTTTTACTCACAGGCAGGTGAAGTCTCTGTAGGCCCATACTCCCTCTCCCCAGCAGCTTTTGTTTCTAGCTTACCTTACCTTACAGGGTAACTCAATCTGTAGGGTTTATTCCAGAGCACCTCCTTTTACCTCAAGGATGGTATTTCTGGTTCCCTTAAAGTAAAGCCTCCTCAGAATGTTTTATTCCTGGGCCATGAGCTGTCACTCTCAGGGACCAGCCTGTGCACAAGTCATATATTGTGTGCACCCGTCTTTTTGGTCTGCTGCTGAGTCTCTGTTTTCCATGCCGCTGTCCCCTTGTCCCATGACCACAATCACTCTAGCTCCTCCCCGTGGAGCAGCAGGGGCTTAAGAAATTCAAACAAAACATGTATCCACATAAATAATACTGTCATAAGAAAAAGGAAGTTGAAAAAAATGGAAAACCCACTTCAATAGATACGCTTTTGACTCCTTTGAACTCTGCACAGTGTGAATGGAGCCCTTATGCTTGGGCTGAAAACTTTTCCTCTACTTCTGAGCACATGTGTGACTTAACATTCTCCTTGCTGAGTTGAAGAATTCTCAGTATGTATCACCCAAAGCCAAAAATAAGTTATGATTGAAATTTGGGCACATAAAGTGATTTTGATACTCATTTTTTCCTAAAATGAAAACTTAGATGAATATTAGGTAGGGGTTTGAACAATGTGGAAATCTTTTAACTGTTCTTTGAGTCAGGTCATGTAAAGTATCTTTGTTTGCCTTCCCCAGGATGGGGTGGGGGCTCTTAGGCCCTTACATCTTCGGGTGGTGTAACCAGTCTGGATAATAGGCATAGAGGACTGCAGATCAGGAGATGGAAAAGTACTGGAAGTGAGACAGCTGCCTGAGTTGGATTAGATAAGGGAAACCGTGTAGAAAGCAGTCTGAATCCAGCACCCTAGGAAGGTGTGGGTTTATATGATACACTCCAGAATGCAAACTTGAAAGAAATTGTGTGTGGGATACCTTGAGCTTCTTAAAGGGGAATATTTGATTTGACTTATCACTCGAATGAATGTGTCACTTTTTATCACCATGGGAATTTATTACTTTGTGAAAACATACATTAGTTATGAGAAAGAGTAGGCCTGCTGGGTAAAGCGTTGTGCGACTTTAACATAATGTTACATTTCCTTTCTTGCAGGAACCAGTGATTATCAGATTGATCCATCTTTTTTTGTTTTTTCAGAGATGGAGTCTCGCTCTGTTGCCCAGGCTGGAGTGCAGTGGTGCGATCTCAGCTCACTGCAACCTCCGCCTTCCGGGTTCAAGTGATTCTCCCACCTCAGCCTCCCAAGTAGCTGGGATTACAGGTGCCCAACACCATGCCCGGCTAATTTTTTTTTTTTTTTTTTCTGAGACAGAGTCTCATTCTGTCGCCCAGGCTGGAGTGTAGTGGTACGCTCTCAGCTCACTGCAACCTCCGTCTCCCAGGCTCAAGCAATTCTCCTGCCTCAGCCCTCCCGAGTAGCCGGGATTACAGGCATGTGCCACCACAACGGGCTAATTTTTGTATTTTTAGTAGAGACGAGATTTCACCATTTTGGCCAGGCTGGTCTCGAACTCCTGACCTATCTGCCTGCCTTGGTTTCCCAAAGTGCTGGGATTACAAGTGTGAGCCACCGTGCCCGGCCTGTATTTTTAGTAGAGATGAAGTTTCACCGTGTTGGCCAGGCTGGTCTTGAACTCCTGACCTCAGATGATCCACCTGCCTCGGCCTCTCAAAGTGCTGGGATTACAGGTGTGAGCCACCGTGCCCAGCTTAGATTGATCCATTTTAACACCAATTGGTAGTGTCTTCAACCACAAACCAATATGTGGGTCAGAAATAATTATGTGAGGAATCATTCTTACATGAAGAAACAGTCATTCTGAATGATCTTTTGTAATATGTAGGACATATTGGAAGCAAAATTCCCAATGTTGAATTTCGAGAGTTTGGGAAGGTGAACATGGCTGCGGTACATGTGTAATACACCACTAGCTGCTTTAAAAACACACCCCAGCACAGAACTTTATTGAGACGTGTCTGTCAGAAATTTTCTGTACATGTTTGTGTACATTAACAGTTTTTTTTATTGTACTCAGTACTGCCCTCAATATATAGGATGAGTCTACTTCTTAAATGTGGATTCCTTTTTAGAAGGAGATGTGAGATCGATAAATAAGATATACTGGGCTGGGCACGGTGGCTCACACCTGTAATCTCAGCACTTTGGGAGGCTGAGGTGGGCAGATCACCTGAGGTCAGGAGTTTGAGACCAGCCTGGTCAACATAGTGAAAAAAAATACAAAAATTAGCTGGACGTGGTGGCGTGTGCCTGTAATCCCAGCTACTCAGGAGGCTGAGGCGGGAGAATCGCCTGTACCTGGGAGGTGGAGGTTGCATGCAGTGAGCTGAGATTGCACCACTGCACTCCAGCCTGGGTGACAGAGTGAGACTCCGTCTCAAAAAAAAAAAAAGGGTCAGAGGGGATACATTGTTAATAAGTGGAAGCTGTTGTGATTTTCCAGTAAGATTGATAGGAAGTGCCCTTACAGCTAAGCAATATCATTTCTTCTTTTTTCTTTTTTTAATTTTAATTAAATTGTTATTATTATTATTGAGACAGAGTCTCGCTGTCACCCAGGCTGGAGTACACTGGCGCGATCTTGGCTCACTGAAACCTCTGCCTCCCAGGTTCAAGCGATTCTCGTGCCTCAGCCTCCTGAGTAGCTGGGACTATAGGCACACACCATCAAGCGCAGCTAATTTTTGTAATTTTCGTAAAGATGGAGTTTCATCATGTTGGCCAGGCTGGTCTCGAACTCCTGACCTCAAGTGATCCGCCCGCCTCAGCCTCCCAAAGTGCTGAGATTACAGGCGTGAGCCACTGCACCTGGCCTTATTATTATTTTTTTGAAACAGGGTCTTACTCTGTCACCCAGGCTGGAGTGCAGTGGCGCGATCATAGTTCACTGCAGCCTTGACCTCCTGGGCTCAGGTGATCCTCCCACCTCAGCCTCCCAAGTAGCTGGGACTACAGGTGCGCACCACTACACCTGACTAATTTTTATATTTGTAGGGACAGGGTTTCGCCGGATTTCTTAAGATTTATGTTGAATTTAGTGTGCCTAAAGAGGAATGTTTTTTGCTAAGTCATTTAAGTTATTGAACTTTCCTTTTATAGCAATTTGATAAAGTTATATTTTTACTGATGCTTACATTTTGATTTTCATTCACTTTCTCCCCGCAAAATGCCCATTGGAGGAAATGTTGCCTAACTCTGTGGGTTTAGTTGAAGTATCAGTCTCCAGGAACTCGGCTGTGTTGTAGCTACTTCAAGATTTTTAAGTGTTTTCCCCAAAGCAAATGATAGTGCTTGTATCTGGGACGGTTTCTGCCACGGTGAAGGTTGCTGGCTGGAACATGCTCATAAGACATCACCCTTAGCTCTGGCCAGCCACGTGGAAATTGTGCCATTACACCTCTCCCTTGTGCCAGCTGTATACATGCTTTGGAAGCTGAATTTTCCTTTCGGCTCATGTTGCTTGGCTCTGGGCAGGCTGTACTGGATCTTTCAGATAATAATGTCTGTAGGCCAGTGTCCTGACCTATTTCACCAATGTCCCACGAGTTTATGAACTGGCTCTGGAGCAGAGCCTTTGGGAAACTTGGTGCTGGCCATTTTTGCCACCTGTTGGGTTGACATGCTAGTAATCCCAATCATTTGGAGTTTTAGCTAGAAAGGTATAACAAAAGCTATCCTATGGCATGTGATTGGGACTAGTAAGTAATCAATGAATCAAAATTTATTTAAAGCAAGGAGTCTAATGGCTATTACATTTTCAGCTAAACTACTTCAATTTCATGCCAGAAAAGTAGTAATATTCTAGATTAAGCAACAGAGGTGATTTATCCCTAGTGAAATAGTGGACTGATCTGTTAGTAAAGTGAAGTTTTTCTATCTCTAAGCTTTAGAAGATTGGTGGGAGTTTCTTAAATAATTCATTTTTTAGTTTAAAAAGATATCTAAAAGCTGGCTTTAATTCTTGTACATCTTCCTTTCAGCCTCTGCATTCATTTAAATTTGCTGCTTAGAGGTTCAGGTAAACTGTGTTGTCACCATGACATGTGGTGGATGTCTTTCTGAGTGGCCCCTCACAATCTAGCTAATTATACATGGATTCTTTGGTTTGTTCACTACATGATAAATCAGTATGTGTCGTGCAGACGAATGAGAATTGTGTTCTTATTAGATCCTAGTGCAAAATGTCTTTCAGAATGATGTTTCCTCATCTTTACCATATAAGGCCGTTATTAGTATGGTTTCCTTTAATCTCCATGAACTGGAGCCCTCAGCAGTTTGTAAGTGCCCAGCTTTGTATTTTTAATAACGTATGCTGATTTGGTGAAATATGTTGTTGTGCTTTTGTTTTGATTTCATTATGAGTAAGAAGATACTTAGAGGTGTAAGCCCTTGAAAGCAGGATAGCTGATACTTGACTGTGTGTTTGTGAACATCCAGCATGCCAAATAATCAGTGTACCTTTAAAATGCCATCTACCCCCATACTGTCTTCACATTTTTGTTCTTTTATCACTGTCAGATATTTAGTCAATTGCTTTTCTCTTGTGCTACAGTAGAATACTACTTTCTCTGTTTTATTTAAGGATTTATGATGACATCACAACCAGAGGAAGCAGCTGCTTGTAGAATATCATTTTTTATTAACTGTGTTTCTGATGGCCAATTGCCAATAATTTTTAACATTACTTGTGTGCCTTTTTTTTACAACCCATGGCATAGTGGAAATTTTCTTTCCCTATCCAAATCTAGTATGGTTGGTCAGTGATATTTTAGATCTTTGCTTCTTGACTTTCTCTGTGCCTCAGTTTCTTTATTTGGAAAATAGGGTGATAAGATTCCCACATCTTAAAGGTTGTCATGAGGACAAAGTTATCAAGGTCTTCAGACAGTTCCTAGCTTGTAATTTAAGTACTTAAAAAGTGTTAGCCATTGTTATTATTTGTTTTGATAGAAAGGACAGAAATAGCTGGCAGTTGCTCTTTCAGTGACATTCAGGTTCCAGAGAAAATGTTGAGCTCTAGTACTTTCAGGCTGTGGATTTATTGGGGCTGAGCTGGGAATGGCAGTAATGCTTATTATTATTCTCAGATATCTTGACTGAAGAATACTGGTGAATAGCTATTAACTTTTAGCCAGGGTTATTTAATTTTAACTTCAAAAAAGAAGTCATTTAGTAAGAAGCTTCTTAGTATGTAATTAAGAACAACTAGTGCTAGTACTTCCAGATTCCCCTCAAAATTGCTTTGTGTTTGAATAAAAGCGCTTCTTAGCCCAGATTGGAAAAAATCATTTGGTGTTCTTGGAAGTTCAGAGCTCAGTACTATAGTTGGCCATCAAGGATGCCAAATGTGGTTTCCTGGGCAGAGCCTAGGAATGCAAAGACCCTGATGTAAAACAAAACAATTCAGGTAGAAAAGCTTTTTTCCTTGGGAGTAAAAAAAAATTTTAATGCAAATTTAATAATAATGCATTGGTGTATTTCTTAACTTTATTATATTTTAAATTCTTTTTTTCAAAATAAGATGTATCAAAATAATAGGACACACATGTACTCACAAGATTAAACAGATGTTAATATTTTGCCATATTTGTTTCATATCTCCCCTTTTTGAAAAAAGTAATAAAGCATAACAGATACAGGTAGAATACCATTCTTATTTATTTTCTCCTTCCCCAGAGGTAATCTTTTCTTCAAATATGTATCATATTTTTATTACATATATGTTTATCTGTAACATGTACTTTTATTTCGCGTGCCTTAAACTTTTATGTAAATATGTATTCCCATACTGAAGGACAGTGAAATTGCTTCTGCTTTTGCCACTATTTCCAACAATGCGGCAATAAATATTCCTCTTGTACAAAATATGGGAGCATCTCTCTCACCCAGACCACCTAGAAGTGGCATTGCTGGGCTGGACTTCCTCACCTCTACCTGTTACCAAATTGCTCTTGAAAGGAATTGTAACAAGGTGTTCTGTAAGCAGTTTATGAGTTCCTCTTTCCTGACATCCTTGTCAGCACTTATATTTATACTTTTACATTTTCACCAGTTTTGATGAGTATAAAATGTGACCATGTTGTTTTAATTTGCAGTTCTCTAATTATCAGTGAGATTGAAGTATCTTTTCACACATCTATTGCGTCTTCAGATTTTCTTCGCTGTGAGTTCTCTGCTTGTGTAATTTGCCCATCGTTCTGTTTGGTTGTTGATTTTGTTAGGTATGTATGTTGCATACCTCTTCTTGCACTTTGTAACTTGTCTGTTCATTTACATTTTTAAAGAACAACTCACACTGCTGAATTTGGTTTGCTTTTGTTGCTGTTTGTGAGGAGCTTTGCATCAGTATTTATAAGTCATATAGGCTTCAATTTTTCTCCCTTATACTGTCCTTTGTATCAAGGTGTTACATTCCTTATATGATGAATTCAGTGGCACTTTTCTTTTTTCTGTTCTCTGGAAAGCTTTGTTTGAAATGATCTCTTCCTTGAATATTTGGTGACACTCACCTGTAAAACCATCTGGGCCTAGTGTTTTTTGGTATTTGCTGATTGATTGATTGATTGGGAGGTGGTGATGGGTAGAGTTATACTACTGATCTTTTATGGTTATGGATCTAATTTACATTTATTTATTCTTGAAAATCTTTTGATGTTACTTTTACTTCTGTGAGATTGTGTATTTCATCTAGATTATTCAATTTTATATATATTGTCAAATGTTATTCCTAGTGTTTTCATACTCTGTAAATTTCTACTTTATTTGTAAGTTATGTCCCTTTTAAAATTATTGGTATTCATTTGTGCCTTATCTCTTTTCCTGATCTATCCAGTTTAGTTGATTTTGTTATTTATTTTTTTTCCACTGACTTCTTTTTTTCCTCTTTTTTTTTTTTTTTGAGACAGAGTCTTGCACTGTTGCCCGGACTGGAGTGCAATGGTGCGATCTCAGCTCACTGCAACCTCTGCCTCTCAGGTTCAAGCACTTCTCCTGCCTCAGCCTCCTGAGTAGCTGGAATTACAGGCACCCACCACCATGCCTGGCTAAGTTTTTGTATTTTTAGCAGAGACGGGGTTTCACTATGTTGGCCAGGCTGGTCCCGAACTCCTAACCTCATGATCTGCCTGCCTTGGCCTCCCAAAATGCTGGGATTACAGGCATGAGCCACTGTACCTGGCATCTTTTCTAATAATTTTACATTCTTTGGATGTACTCTGTTCATTTTCTAACTTCTCAAGGTAGCAACTCAATGCATTAATTTTCAGTCTTTTCTACTATATGCATTTAAGACTGTCCATTTTTCACTAAGATCTGTTTTAGTTGTATGTTGCACATTTGGATATGTTGTGTATTGCTCAGTTTTAACTTTCATTCTGTTATCCATTATGATTTTTAAAAAACAATTATTTAGTAAATTAAAATATTTTCAAATGTACTGGAGATTTTTGGTTTATTTTTCTATTAATTTTTAATTGTATTGCATTATACTCAGAAGATGCTCTACCTGCTATTGACTCCTTGGTATTTTTTGAGATTTGCTTTGTGGTCTCCTAATTGATAATTTAAAACAAATTAATGTTTAATGTATGTTTGAAAAAAGTGTATTTTTAAATGTTAGGTACAAGGTTATATATATTCATTAGATCAAAGTTGTTAATTTTTATAAAATCTTCTGTATTCATATTAATTTTGTCTGTTTAATTTCTTAAATCTTTGTTGACATCTCTTACGATTATGACTTTGTCATTTTCTTCAAGTTCTGTCAACGTTTGCCTTAATTATTTTGAAATTATATGGTTAGATGAATTACAGTTTATAGTGGCAATATAACTTTCCAGTGAATTGTTTCTTTAGATGTCAGATAGTGACATTAATCGCTAATAGTGCATTTCACCTTAAAGTCTGTTTGTTCTGGTATTAACTACCAGGTATACTTTTTAATATGCCGCCCTCCTTTATTTGCCTTTTGGTGCCATTATTTTTTTAAAATATGTGTAGCTGGATATAATCTAATCTGAGAGGCCTTGTCTTATCTAGTGAGCTTAATCTTGCATTTACTACAAATCATGATTTATAGTTGGTTTTATTTCCACCATCTTTGTGCTTTCTAGTTTTCATGCTTTTTTTTCTTAAAAAATTTGTCTCTGCTTTTCATGAGTTGCATTCATACTTTCTTTGGTCCTTTTTTTCTTTTTATTTTCTCTTTCTATTGGATTGAGCCAGTTTTTAAATTCTAGCTATTGTAGTACACCTCCACCCCCACCCACCCCCAGAAATTATACATTCTCTCTCTTTCCTTTTAGTATTTACTCTGCATTTGGATATCTTTATTTAAAGTCTAAAATTAGTCAATTTTTAAGTCTGATCATATGCCTTTTACCTTAAATGGTATTGTTGTCTAATGTTTTGTTTCTGTCTTTTTAAAATCTGTACTCCAAGTTGGTATTATTAGTACTGTTTTACATAGTACCTGTTTGTATTTGCTTTATTTATTTATTTGCTCACTGTTGTTTTGCTATACCTTTCTACTTTACTTTCTTTTCCTGAAATGAGTCCTTAAACTTAATTCTTCAAAATTAATATAGCAATTCTTTGAGACAAATCTAAGAATTTAATTTTTTGAACAAGGGTTTACCCATGGTAAATTCTGTCTCTTTTTGTCTGCAGTGCCTTTTGTTTGCTTTTTTCTTGTCATCATTCTTGAATGATAGTTTTTCTGGGTATGGAATACAAGGGTGGTGGTTTTTCTTAGCATTTCCAAGATGTTTTCCATTTTTTTGTTTCTCTGATTGCTTCTGAGAAATCTGCTCACAATCAGTCTAATTACTCTGTCAGTAGGTAATCTGTCCTTTCTCTGTTGTTGCTTCTGGGATCTTCTCTTTGTTTTAGGTGTTCTAAATTGCACTAGGATATGAATAGATAAGAATTTGTTTTCACTTATACTGCCGGAGGTGGGATTTGTGCATCTTAAATCTAAAGACTTATGCATTTAACTGAACCTGAAAAATTCTCAGACATTATCTCTTTAATTTTTGCCTCTGTTCCATTCTTTTAATTCTCTCCTTTTGGTTTGTCTATTTAAATGTGTGTCAAACTTCATTCTGGCCTTCCAGCCTTAGGATGTTTTAAGTTATGAAATATCACACATTCAAGCCACGCATGGTGGCACACACCTATAGTTCCAGCTATGTAGGAGGCTGAGGCAGGAGGATCTCTTGAGGCCAGGAGTGAGCTATGATTGTGCCTGTGAATGGCCACAGCATTCCAGCCTAGGCAACGTGAGACAAGAACAAGAGAGAGAGAGAAAGAAAGGAAGGAGAAAGAGAGCACACATTCAAAAGAGTTACTGTATCTATAGTTTAATAATTATGTAAAATAGGATGAATGCCTGTGATCCCAGTACCATCAGCTTAAGCAACAATATTACCTGGGGTAGTAACTCAAGGATGCAAGTGAAATCTCCATCTTACCTGCATGATTTTTGTGAGAATGCAATAAGATAAGCAAAACCACGTGGCTTAGACCTAGTAGCTGGTCGTTCTTTAAGGAGAGACACCATCAGAAATGTGGTAGATTCCAGCATTTGTTAAATTTCGGGTAATGTTTATTGAGTACTTCAAGTGCTGGGGCAGAACCAAGTTCTTTACCTTGATTGTCTCATTTAGTCCTCACATCAGCTCTTAAGGAATAAACTGTTAAACATTCTAGTTTTATAGATGAGGAACCGAGGTTGAGGGATGGAGTAATTTGGCTAGGACTTCACAGCTAGAAGATGGCAGAACCATGACTACACTCTGGGCAGTCTGGTTCTCAACCATTTATACTTCGCTGCCTGTAAATGAACTGTGTGGCTCCTTCCTGTGACACCCAGATTCTATATGATATGGTGTTCATTGGAATTTCCTTTTTTGAAGTCCTTTTTTGGTGATGCGTTTTGGAAGATCCAAACTGGGTTGCAAGGGAAAGTGGAGGAATGTGAAGAAACCTAGGCCTTAGGTCTGTAAACAGGGCCATATTCAGGCCTCAACTTAGAACTTACCTTTCCCAGAAGAAAACCTCTCCAGAGACTGTGACCCCACAAACCTGCTTGAATGTCTTCCTTCTCTGTTCCTATGTGGCACCATAATTGGCTGTTTAAATGTCTCTCTCCTCTCACTGGGCTCCACATTTAGCCAGGACAGGACTGCCTTGTTCACGTCTGTATCTCCAGCACTCAGCACAATGTCTGGTCCATAAAAGTTCACAACACATATTTGTTAATTCTTAATGATGGAGTAAATTATTGTACTAGAAGAACTAATAATGTGACAGCTTTTATTGGATATTTTATTCCAGATACTGTGGTTAATTTTTTTACTTATTTTACAGATAATTGTAATACTGAATTGTGATTTATCTAAAAGTGTTCTCTCATTTAATCCTTACGGTAATTGTGGGAGTTAATAAGTATCATTGTTAACTATTTTACAGATGACGAATGAGGTGAAGCTTAGAGAGATTACATGACTTGTCTAAAGTCACCTGTTTAATCAGTAGAGCCTGGATTTGAACCCTTACCTGTCTTATTCCAGAGCCTGTGGTCTTTACACGTTAACGTTCTGCTTTCCTGGAGATTTGCACAGTCAAGTCAAATTGGAGAAATCATAGAAATTTCTGTTCTTGAAAAATTGCTAAGAAGCCTGCTCCAGTGTTGGGATGATTTGCCATATAAGAGCAAAAACAACAAAAAATAGATTAAGCCATACATTGCAGTGGTTCCTTTCTGTGCACCTGCTCTTAAAGCATACACAGCTTCAGCGTGGACTGGCATTAAGCTATTTTAAAAAGGAAACCACTTTCATATACCCATTGTTAACAATAGCAGTTGTCTTAGTTGACACAAAATTGGTCTGATAACCCTGGTTGGTTTGCTAGATTCAAATGTGTGACATGAGCAAATTGTGGTAGCTATTTATGACCAACATTAAGCATTTTATTCTTAATCAGATGTGGAACTGGCTAATGGGTGAGGTCTAAGTTGGTGTTAACTAGATTGTCTGGCTGGCATTTCTGTTGATTGAGGATAGCAGAGAGACTGAGACATTACAATGTAGTAGGCTCTTTAGGCCCTAATGATAGCTAAAGCTTTTCTTTTTTTTTTTTTTTTAACTTTTTAAATTTCTTTTTTTTTTTCTTTTTTCTTGTTTCTTTTTTTTTTTTTTTTTTTTGAGACAGAGTCTCTCTCTGTCGCCAGGCTGGAGTGTAGTGGCACGATCTCGGCTCACTGCAACCTCTGCCTACCGGGTTCAAGCGATACTCCTGCCTCAGCCTCCCAAGTAGCTGGGACTACAGGCGCACACCACCACGACCAGCTAATTTTTGTATTTTTAGTAGAGGTGGGGTTTCACCTTGTTGGCCAGGATCTCCTGACCTCATGATCCACCTGCCTCAGCCTCCCAAAGTGCTGGGATTATAGGCGTGAGCCACCGCGCCCGGCCTTTACATTTTAATAGTGCCATTCATTTCCAGAACTGGTAATTTATATATTGGAGGATATTGTCTTATTGTATTAACATTTTGAATAATACCAAGGTTTAGGGTTTTTTTTTTTTTTTTTTTAAGCCATGGAACATCCTTTTAATTTACAATTTGGCTATTTAGAATTGTATTTTGGCAAAAAGACTTTCATATTCTCTTTTGCTATGTCTGCTAGTGCAGTTGGTTACATCTTTTTGGTTCTAGGGATTTGGATTCTTGTAATTTGATCGCATGTCCTTGGTAGTGGCTTTTTCTAGAAGTGAAAGTTGATATTGACTATACGATGTCATATCTAGAAAATTGAGAGTTTTGGGTGGAGGTAATAAATGAGAAATGGGCCTGAGAAAATGTATAACGTCTGTGGTGTTGATATTACATAATAGGTTTGTTTCTCTCTTCTTTCAGACTGGTCGAATTGACAAATCTTACCCTACAGTATGTGGCCACACAGGACCAGTGCTGGACATAGACTGGTGCCCACATAACGATCAGGTCATTGCCAGCGGTTCAGAGGACTGCACGGTCATGGTAAGCTCCCAGGGTGTTGTGTGCACACAGGCCAGTGAGACTCACCTACTGCTTTCAAAAGCATGTGTGTGGGTGTGTGTGTATGTATAGAGGCTTGAAAAGCAGAACGTTATAGCAGTTTTGACTGTCTGTTGGATTTTACAATAATTTACTACGTTTAAGTTTAATTACAGATAATCCTTTCAAGAAGCCCTTAAATCAAAAAGGTTGTACTGCAGTGTCTGCCGTGTCTTTCTTTTTCTTTTTTTTTTTTGAGATGGAGTCTTGCTCTGTCACCCAGGCTGGAGTGCAGTGGCATGATCTCGGCTCACTGTAACCTCCGCCTCCCGGGTTCAAGTGATTCTCCTGCCTCAGCCTCCCGAGTAATTGGGATTACAGGCATCTGCTACCACACCTGGCTAATTTTTGTATTTTTAATAGAGACGAGGTTTCACCATGTTGGCCAGGCTGGTCTCGAACTCCTGACCTCAAGTGATCCGCCTGCCTCGGCCTCCCAAAGTGCTGGGATTACAGTCTTTTCTGTGAGTGTGTTTGTGTATGTGCTTATTGACAGTTGACATGTTCTCTGTTGGAAGATTTTAGGGAAAGTAAAGTGACTTTTCAGTAATTCTGTAATGCCATTTGACCACATGAATTTCCCCTCGCCCCAAAAGGAGAGAAAAAACTGAAACTGCTGGCACAGACTGTACAAGACAGTGACGTAAGATGCCAAAGTTATGCAGATAAAATGGGATATGTCACAGGTGGTAAAAGAGTTTTTGCAATTGCTTGTTTCCAAGCTAATGGCAGAACTGTGTTCTGTCCAGTGGACCCTGGTTAAGAAAGTCCTTTTCATAAAGATATACAAACAAAAAACGTGAAAGGTGAATTAAGTACTTTACATTCCCTCCTTTAGTTTCCAAAAGTAGGTTATGTGTGAAACAAGGCTTTGGAATACTTTTTAATATGATTTCTTGTCCTTAGTTATGATTTTTAACTTTAAAATGTGATTATTGGTTTGGATCAGTTTTTAATGCTAGCCCAAAGTAGGCTGAAAAGGTTAGGCATAAACACAAATGGGAGTACTTGCTGCCCCTGAAATAAGGGAAGATGGTCTCTAATTAATTTGTAAGCAGTCTCGCACATGTCAGGTAGTCTCGCACGTGTCAGCATTGGAGAACCATGCTACTTTTATTTTCCTCTCTATTGGCTGTGGACTGAAACATTGTTTGGAAAGCTTTATTAATTAAAATTATTTTACATAAATACAAATTAATTCCTGAACTGTGTCATTTAAACATTTACCCGCTTTTCCTCATGGGCTTTTGGCTGGGAATGTCTCCTCCTGTGATCTCATAATTTTGGCAGCTAAAGCATATTAAGGAAATACGCTGCTGTGAAAGGGAATTGTTCTGTTTAATGTGCCTTGCTAAATTGATCATTTTAATGGCTATGGACGCATTTTGTTAAGAGAAAGGAATATCGTTTAGACCTGATGCCAGAATTTTTTTTTTTTTTTTTGGGATGGAGTCTCACTTTGTCACCCAGGTTGGAGTATAATGGCGTGATCTCAGCTCACTGCAACCTCTACCTCCCAGGTTCAAGTGATTCTCCTGCCTCAGCCTCCCGAGTAGCTGGGATTACAGCCCTGCGCCACCATGCCTGGCTAATTTTTATGTTTTTAGTAGAAACGGAGTTTCATCATGTTGGCCAGGCTGGTCTCGAACTCCTGACCTCAAGTGATCCCCCCGCCTCAGCCTCCCAAAGTGCTGGGATTACAGGCACGAGCCACTGCGCCTAACTCTGATGCCAGAATCTTAAACGGAGAGTCTGAACCTCTTTTGAAGAAGCAGGTTTGATCCATCTCTGGCTCTCCCTGTCTCTAGCATTACTGGTCACGTTATCCTTTTAAAAAAAATAGTGTGTATTATAAAACAGAAAAACACACCAAATAGTTAAGTGAAAAAGCAGACTCAGGGAGTTAAGTGATTTATGACATAGCGAACACCATGAAACCACCTTCCATGTCAAAAAGTAGAACTTTCCCAACCTCCTCAGACTTCTCCATGTGCCCCATCCCAGTCACAACATCCCTCCTCCCTCTCAAAGTAACCACTCTCCTGACTTTTGTAATACTCATTTCCTTGCCTTTCTTTGTAGTGGTAATCACTCAGGTGTATACCTCTAGACTCTAGATTGGTCTTGCCAGTTTTAAAAACTTGATATGTAGTCTTTTAAGTCTTAATCTAAAGATTCCTCCTTCATCATTTTCTTTTCCCTACAATTTATCTATTCGGAAGCCCTGACCTTTGACCTGTGCTTTTCAACCATCTGGATTTTGCTGATTGTACCCTCATGTTGCAGTTCAGCTTGCTCCTCTGTCCTCTGAATTTCCTGCAAATTGGCAGCTGGAACCTGAAGTGCGGTCAGATTCAGGTTCTGTCCTTTTGGCTAGACTATATTGTTCGCATTATGTTCTTCCATACGCTAGGAAGCACATGATGTCACAGTGTCTGGGTTTCATCCTTTTTCCATTTGTGTATTCTGTGCCTATATCCAGTCATTCACTAGGGGTTGCAATATGGTGACAGTAAATTCTGTCATTTTGTTTTCAATTTTTAGCTGGTAAAATTTTATAAGATAATGTCCTCACTTACTTACTATTTAGTTACCAAATAGTATAGTTCATTTAGGAAAGCAGGATAAGTGCTTGATTCTTTCCTTTTATTTACCTAGTTCTCAAGATAATGAATTGATTCTCTGTCATCCTCAGAAGGTGACAAATTAGGGTTTTTTTTTCCCCGTTCCTTTCATTTTGAAGTCATGGATTTGAACATATTTGATGGGTTCAATCCATTATAATTCTTATCTCAAAGCCGACTTTCTCGCCTTTTCCCATTGAAACCTCTTCAAGATTTCTGAGTCCTTTTGAAATGACCATCATAGTCTTTGAGTCTTTGATAGATAGATTCCTTGCTATGTGATATGTTGAGGTGTTTCAGGCTCACTTTGGACATCCCTGCCCAAGCCATTTCTTTCGGAAGTCCTGGTTTATTTTAAGGGAAAATTATATCTATTAAGTATGCAGTAGCATTATGTATATATATATATACATTTAAAAATACTGTATTACCAAAGAGAGTGTAATCTTTTTGCTGTGGAGGGTTTCCCCTCAGTGTTGATGGCTGCTGACTGATGAGGGTGGTGGTTGCTGAAGGTTGGGCTGGATGAGACCACGACAATAAAGTTTGTCATACTGATTGACTTGGCCTCTCACAAAAGCTTTCTCTGTAGCATGTGATGCTGTTTGATAGCATTTTACCTGCCATAGAACTTCTTTCAAAATTGGAGTCAGTCCTCTCAAACCCTTTTGCTGCCTTATCAACTAAGTTTATGTAAGTAATATTCTAAATGTTTTGTTGTCATTTCAACAGTGTTCACAGCGTCGTTACCAGGAGTACATTCCATCTCAAGAGACCATTTTCTTTGCTTATCCATAAGGAACAACTCCTCATCTGTTCAAGTTTTATCATGAGATTGCAGCAATTCACTCACATCTTGAGGCTCCACTTTTTATTCTCTAGTTCTCTATTTCCACCATATCTACAGTTACTTCTTCCACCAAAGTCTTGAACTCCTCAAATGTTGATATTTAGAACTCCTTCCACGAATCATGAATTTTCTTAATGTCACCTAAAATGGTGAATCCTTTCCAGAAGGTTTTTTTTTTTTTTTTTTTTAAATTGAGACGGAGTCTCGCTCTGTCGCCCAGGCTGGAGCGCAGTGGTACGATCTCGGCTCACTGCAACCTCCGCCTCCTGGGTTCAAGCGATTCTCCTGCCTCAGCCCTCCGAGTAGCTGGGACTACAGTCATGTGCCACCATGCCCGGCTAATTTTTTGTATTTTTAATAGAGATGGAGTTTCACCATGTTAGCCAGGATGGTCTCCATCTCCTGATCTCGCGATCCGCCCGCCTTGGCCTCCCAAAGGTGTGAGCCACCGTGCCCAGCCCAGAAGGTTTTTAATTCACTTTGCCCAGATCCATCAGGGGAATCACTATCAGTGGTAGCTGTAGCCTTATGAAATGTATTTCTTAAATAATAAGATTTGAAAGTCAAAATGATTCCTTGTTCCAAGGGCTGCAGAATTGATGTTAGCAGGTGAAAACAACGTTAATCTCCTTGTACATTTTCATCAGAGGTCTTGGGTGATAAGGTGCATTGTTGGTGAGCAGTAATATTTTGTAAGGAATCTTTTTTTTTCCTGATCGGTGGTTCTCAATGGTGGGCTTAAAATATTCAGTAAACCATGCAGTAAACAGATGTGCTGTCATTCATGCTTTGTTTTTCCATTTCTAGAACATAGAGTAGATTTAGCATAATTATTTATTTATTTATTTTTTATTTTATTATTATTATACTTTAAGTTTTAGGGTACATGTGCACAATGTGCAGGTTAGTTACATATGTATACATGTGCCATGCTGGTGTGCTGCACCCATTAACTCATCATTTAGCATTAGGTATATCTCCTAATGATTTAGCATAATTCTTAAGGGCCCTAGGATTTTTGGTGCGGTAAATGAGCATTGGCGTCAACTTAAAGTCACCAGCTGCGTGAGCCTCTAACAAGACAGGCAGCTCATCTTTTGAAGCTTTGAAGCCAGGCATTGACTTCTCCTCTCTAGCCATGAAAGTTCTAGATGGCATCTTCTTTCAGTAAAAGGCTGTTTCATCTACACTGAAAATGTGTTGTTTAGTGTAGCCACCTTCATCAATGATCTTATCCAGACCTTCCGGATAACTTGCTGCAGCTTCTCCATCAGCACTTGCTGCTTTCCCTTGTACTTTTATATAATGGAGATGGCGTCTTTCGTTAACCTCATGAACTAACCTCTGCTAGTTTCCAACTTTTCTTCTGCAGCTTCTTCACCTCTGTCAGCCTCCATGGAATTGAAGAGAGTTAGGACTTTGCTCTGGATTAGGCTTTGGCTTAAGGGAATCTTGTGGCTGGTTTGTATTTCTATCCAGACCACTAAAACAAGGCTGTTTTTGCTTTTTTATCATTCATGTGTTCACTGGAGTAGCACTTTTAATTTCCTGAACTTTTCTTTTGCATTCACAACTTGGCTAACTGGCTTAAGAGGCGCTTAGCTTTTGGCCTGTTTCAGCTTTCAACATGGCTTCCTCACTAAGCTTAATCATTTCTAATTTTTTATTTAAAGTGAGAAATGTGCAACTCTTCCTTTCACCCAAACACTTAAAGGTCATTTAGGGTTATTAATTGGCCTAATTTCAATGTTGTTATGTCTCAGATAATAGGGAGGCCCAAGGAGAGGAAGAGACAGGAATACAGGAAGAGCAGGTGGTGGAGCAATGAGAAAACACACAGCGTTTATCGATGAAGTTCACTGTCTTATATGAGTGCAGTTCATAGTGCCCCGAAACAATTACAGTAGTAACATCAGACATTACTGATCACTGTAACAGATACAGTAATAACAAAAAAGTTTGAAATCCTGCAAGAATTGCCAAAATGTGACACAGAGACAGTGAACATACGCTGTTGGAAAAATGGTGCAGATAGACTTGCCTTAGGGTTGATAAAAAGCTTCAATTTGTTTAAAAAAAAAAACAAAACAAAAACACCACCACAATATCTGTGAAGTGCAATAAAATGAGGTATGCCTGTATTTACCTAACCTCTTTAATATTAATTACATCTCCATCTCCTTTCTTTCACACAGAGAATGCAGGGTCTTAGGGATACAGAAGAAGAATTAGAACATCCTGATCTATCTCATTTGTCTTTTCACGTTATACATGTAATAGTCTCAGAGTGAAAATACTAATACCACCACCATACCATGATACTGAAAATCGTTAAAAAACTAAACGACTTTTAGTTGAAAAACTAAACAACTTTTTAAAACCCATGCTGTGTCTATTATCCCTCCATTTAAAAATGATGTATTCTGTATTTTCAAGACCACATAGCTGTTACATTCAGCAGTCTCTCCTCCCTTGGTTCTGTGAGTAACTA